>NC_000006.12:1423636-1575151 GCF_000001405.40 Homo sapiens
AACTAGGTGGCTTACAACCAGGACGATCCATTCTGTCTCCTGGCTCTGGGGGCTGTTCGAGCTCGCTTGGGAGGCTGCACCCAGCTGGCACCCGCTGGACAGGTCTGCAGGGCCTGCCTCACAGGCCTGGTGGTGTGTGCTGGCCCTCCTTCTTCACATGGGCAGTCGTGACTCAGCTTGCCTCCTCCAGGGCTTCCTTACAGGCCACAAGTGCATTCCGAGAAGGTCATGGTGGATGCACAAGGTTCCTGGAGGCCCAGACTCTGACCTTGCACATTGCTGGGTGCTGCAATGCATCAGTCAAAGCAAGTTATAGGCCAGCCAGGATTTGGGAGGCAGGAGAAGAGCAGCTGCAGAACACTGCAGGCCCTGTCCACCTGCAGCGGGAGGTGGGGTGGTACTGGCTGCAAGCTGAGGAGCGACCTTTCTAGAGGTCTTCAAGAACAGGCCACACCCTCCCGAGGGTGATGTAACTGAGGCCGTGGGACCTGAAGTCTAGCCATGTCTCTGTCTAGAGGTCGATGATTACCACGTGCCTTTTTATTGCAAATTTTGCCCAGGACTCTTTTCTTCAGCTTTTAGCAGTTCCAAGATGCACCCCCTGGCTGGGGCTCCTTGAAGAACCACTGTTTTTCTAAACTCACTCTTTTCTTTTGAGGTTTTGACATCTAGTATTTGACTATTTTCCCCTGAGCACAGTGTCCTGAGTTGAGCCTCGGAAGTGACTCTGAACGTTTAGGTTGGAAGTCTGGAGGAATCCTCGCTGCTAAGGCTGACATCAGGGCGGTGTGATTTCTGCAACGCCCGGAGACGTCAAGGCAGAGTCTGCAGGGAGGAAAACCGACCTGGTGTCTTCACTGCCATCTAGTGACGGTGCCGTTAGGTGGCAGGATTCCATTTAGCTGGGTACTGTCCAAATGACCAGCTCATGGAAATCGGGCTAGAATTTTAACTTAGTTTTCATTTACAGGCAGTAAAGAATAGTGGTTGGGAGGGAATCGGCTCTAGAGTCTGACTGCTGGGTTTGGGTCTCAGCTCTGACACTTACCTGTGTGGTCTTGGGTGATTACGTAGCCTCCTGGTGCCTTGGTGTCCTCATCCATGAAGTGGGTTGTTGACAGTGCCTGCTTCACAGGGTGGTTGTGTGGAGTAATGACTCGATACAGATTAAAGCATTTAGAGATTGTGAGCGCACAGTGCTGTATGAGCGTTAGCTATTATCAGGTTAGCATCCCTCATCCAAAAATCCAAAATGCTCCAAAATCTGAAATTTTTAAGCACTGACATGATGCCCCAGGTGGAAAATTCCACACCTGACCTCATTGATGGGTAGCAGCCAAAACACAGCCACACAAGACGTAGTTTATTCAGCATCCCCAAGGGAACAAAGACCCTCCCAGCCCCCTTCAGCTGCAACATATCTTCCACACACCAGATACGTATGTCATATTTTTTGACTATAAAGTGTGAATAAATGTAAGAAAATGATTGCTTATTGGTATCACATAAATCCAGAGTCAGGAAGGATGGTGATGCCAAACAACCACAGGCTGTTCTCACGGGTGGCTGAGATAGGATCACCTTTCTTTCTTTCTTTCTCTCTCTTTCTTTCTTTTTCTTCCTTCATTCCTCCTTCCTTCCTTCCTTCTTCTTTCTTTCTTTCTTTTTTATTTTCTGATGGCCTCTGGCTCTGTCACCCAGACTGGAGTGCACTATTGCAATCTCGGCTCACTGCAACCTCCGCCTCCTGGGTTAAAGCGATTCTCCTGCCTCAGCCTCCCAAGTAGCTAGGATTACAGCCACACGCCACCACGCCCAGCTAATTTTTTTGTTTTTAGTAGAGACGGGTTTTTGCCATGTTGATCAGGCTGATCTCGAACTCCTGGCCTAAAGTGATCCGCCCGCCTCGGCCTCCCAAAGTGCTGGGATTACACGCTTGAGCCATCATGCCCTGCCCGGAACACCTTTGCTTTCTGATGGGCCAATGTGCACCAACTTTGTTTCATGCACAGATTTATTTAAATATTGTGTAAAATTACCTTCAGGGTATGCATATGAGATGTATATGAAACATAAGTGAATTTCATGTCTAGACTTGGGTCCCATCCCCAAGATATCTCATTATGTATATGGAAATATTCCCAAATCCAAAAATTTAAATACTTTTGGTTCCAAGTAGAGCCCTTTGACATACACCTTGAGTGAAGCAGAGGAAAGAGAAAAGGTGCTTTTGACGAGGGTGGACCTGAGTGGAAAGGATGTCAGTTTCTGGGTATCTTGCGTTCCTTATGGCATAGCTGTGTGTAAGTTAGCGCACTTGTGAATTGTAAGGAACCCGCAAGGGTATGGAGTTGTTAGAGAGATCTCATGGCCGCAGGCACGGTGCTCCCAGGGAGGACAGCTGACGAGTAATTCCTAGTCCTTGCAAATCGACAGGATTGGCCCCTGTGAACCCGTCAGATTCCCCACATCCTGGTTACCTGCTTTGATGCCTACTCTTTGTAAATAAATTTTTTAAACCACACAGTTTTAATTATATATTAGCAGCAGTAGTAGTTGTTGTTTTTAAGACTACGTTTTTCTCCAAACGCTTGTAGATACAAGATCAGCTTTGCTTTTTTTGGCCGGAACACTAGTTCTACTACAATTGAAGCAAAATAGTCTTTTATTATAGAAATCAGATCACTCCCCTGTGTTTCCAGTAGCTAACTCCACTTTGTAGAGAATGCTATCCGAAGTATCCATCCCTCTTTCAATTGTTTAATTTTTCTCTCTTTTAAATGCTTACAAAATAAGTCACATTTACCAACGGCTGCACACCGTCTACCACATCTGTTAGAGATCATGAGGAAGTGGCAAGAGTCCTTTCTTCCACCACTCTCGGTGTGAGAGACTGGCCGTCGCTCCTCACGAGCAGCTTATCCAAAAACGGATTCACTACTCAAGGAACAGGAAGGGGACAGGCTTCAGGCAGCCCAGGCCCTACCTACTGGTTACCACCCCTTCCCAGGAGCTGAGCCTGGACCATCCATGGGAAGAGCTGTGCCCACGGCCACCAGAGTTGAGACCAGGGCTTCCCAGCCACAATTCCTCCTTTCAGAACCCAAGAGACAGCTCCTCACAACTCTGCAACTCTAGGATCCTTCCAGAAACCACCAAGGGTACGGAGACCCGAGAAGCCGTACGTGTCTCTCCCTGCTAAGTAATACACTTCCGAAGTTAAGGAATTCATCAACATGTTTTTAAACCCAGCTCCACCTGGTGACCATGGACAACCACAATACGTTTCTGGAAGCCTCTCTACCACTCACGCCCACCCCCAGGATAACAATCTCAGCTGCCCCCCAAACAGAACAGCAAGCACGTTCTATCGCCAAACACTTTGCACACGTGATTTCATGTAATCCTCATCTCACCCATTTTGGCTGAAAGCTCAGAGAGTTTAGGCAAATCTAAAACTGCGCAGCTGGTGAGTGGGTGAGTGGGTGAGTGGGAGCGCTGGAATTCCAACCTCTCCAAGCATTTAGGAGAAGTCCCTGAAGAAGACCTTGGGAGAGAAGGAGCTCAGACATCCCAAGTAAGCGGGGAGCCTGTAAGGTGAAATAGTCCCTTATCCTTCTGTGTCACTCACCGAGTGGAAGAAGGGCTTGTAGAGAAACTGAGGGCCAGGACGAATCATCCCACTCTCAGTGCTCCTACTCACCAATACACAGTCACACACAATTCACTGAAACATCTTTTACATACGTTGCACAGATAACAGAAGACAATTAAAATTACAGATTTTTTTTTTCTTTTTTTGAGATGAAGTTTTGCTCTTGTTGCCCAGGCTGGAGTGCAATGTTCGGATCTCAGCTCACTGTAACCTCCACCTCCCGGGTTCAAGAAATTCTCCTGTCTCAGCTTCCCGAGTAGCTGGGATTACAGGTGCCTGCCACCACGCCGGCTGATTTTTGTATTTTTTAGTAGAGACAGGTGTTCACCATGTTCGCCAGGCTGGTCCTGAACTCCTGACCTCAGGTGATCCACCCATCTCGGCCTCCGAAAGTGCTGAGATTACAGGCGTGAGCCACCATGCCCAGCCAAAATTACAGATTTTAAGGCTGGATGCAGTGGCTCAGGCCTATTATCCTGGCACTTTGGGAGGCCAAGGTAGGAGGATTACCTGAGCCTAGGAGTTCAAGACAGCCTGGGCAACACAGTGAGACCTCATCCATCTCTACTAAAAATAGAAAATAATAGCTGGGTGTGGTGGTGCATGCTTGCAGTCCCAGCTGCTCCGGAGGCTGAGGCTGGAGGATCGCTTGAGCCCAGGAGGTCGAGGCTGCAAGGAGCGGTGACGGCACCACTGCACTCCAGCCTGGGGGACAGAGCAAGACTCTGTCTCAATAAATAAATAAGAATAATAAAATAAAATGACAGATTTTAACGTAGGACTTTTAAAATCCAGGACATAGCCCTCTATTCTTTTGCACAAAATCAGCAGAGTTTATGCCAACGTATGTCTTATTTTAAATAATGTGTCACTCCTCTGCTCCATGCTCCCTGGGTGCTCATCTATGAAGACTCTGATGCCAACAGACATAGTCTCAGAGGGAGTGGCTGTGCCTCAGGCAGGTGCAGAGGGAGGCAAGCCACACCACACACCACAGGGGCCGAGAGCACTCAAGCCCGGGTGAGGCAGTGAGCCCCAGTCACCCAGGAGAGGGGGCAAATTTAACATGAGCTGCTGGCTGACTCTGCAGTTCACCACAGCACAAAGAATTATTTCAATGAGAAATGCTTATCCCCCTGTAGAATTCTTTTCTTTCTAGAGACTGGGTCTCACTCTGTCTCCGAGGCTGGAGTGCCGTGGTACAATCAGGGCTCACTGCAGCCTCGACCACCTGGGATCAAGCAATCCTCCTGCCTCAGCCTCTGGAGTAGCTGGGACTAGAGATGAATGCCACCATGGCTGGCAATTTTTTTTCTTTTTTTTTTATTATTATACTTTAAGTTTTAGGGTACATGTGCACAATGTGCAGGTTAGTTACATATGTATACATGTGCCATGCTGGTGCGCTGCACCCACTAACTCGTCATCTAGCATTAGGTATATCTCCCAATGCTATCCCTCCCCCCTCCCCCCACCCCACAACAGTCCCCAGAGTGTGATGTTCCCCTTCCTGTGTCCATATGTTCTCATTGTTCAATTCCCATCTATGAGTGAGAATATGCGGTGTTTGGTTTTTTGTTCTTGTGACAGTTTACTGAGAATGATGATTTCCAATTTCATCCATGTCCCTACAAAGGAAATGAACTCATCATTTTTTATGGCTGCATAGTATTCCATGGTGTATATGTGCCACATTTTCTTAATCCAGTCTATCGTTGTTGGACATTTGGGTTGGTTCCAAGTCTTTGCTATTGTGAATAGTGCCACAATAAACATATGTGTGCATGTGTCTTTATAGCAGCATGATTTATAGTCCTTTGGGTATATACCCAGTAATGGGATGGCTGGGTCAAATGGTATTTCTAGTTCTAGATCCCTGAGGAATCACCACACTGACTTCCACAATGGTTGAACTAGTTTACAGTCCCACCAACAGTGTAAAAGTGTTCCTATTTCTCCACATCCTCTCCAGCACCTGTTGTTTCCTGACTTTTTAATGATTGCCATTCTAACTGGTGTGAGATGATAACTCATTGTGGTTTTGACTTGCATTTCTCTGATGGCCAGTGATGGTGAGCATTTTTTCACGTGTTTTTTGGCTGCATAAATGTCTTCTTTTGAGAAGTGTCTGTTCATGTCCTTTGCCCACTTTTTGATGGGGTTGTTTGTTTTTTTCTTGTAAATTTGTTGGAGTTCATTGTAGATTCGGGATATTAGCCCTTTGTCAGATGAGTAGGTTGCGAAAATTTTCTCCCATTTTGTGGGTTGCCTGTTCACTCTGATGGTAGTTTCTTTTGCTGTGCAGAAGCTCTTTAGTTTAATTAGATCCCATTTGTCAATTTTGGCTTTTGTTGCCATTGCTTTTGGTGTTTTAGACATGAAGTCCTTGCCCATGCCTATGTCCTGAATGGTAATGCCTAGGTTTTCTTCTAGGGTTTTTATGGTTTTAGGTCTAACATTTAAGTCTTTAATCCATCTTGAATTGATTTTTGTGTAAGGTGTAAGGAAGGGATCCAGTTTCAGCTTTTTACATATGGCTAGCCAGTTTTCCCAGCACCATTTATTAAATAGGGAATCCTTTCCCCATTGCTTGTTTTTCTCAGGTTTGTCAAAGATCAGATAGTTGTAGATATGCGGCATTATTTCTGAGGGCTCTGTTCTGTTCCATTGGTCTATATCTCTGTTTTGGTACCAGTACCATGCTGTTTTGGTTACTGTAGCCTTGTAGTATAGTTTGAAGTCAGGTAGCGTGATGCCTCCGACTTTGTTCTTTTGGCTTAGGATTGACTTGGCGATGCGGGCTCTTTTTTGGTTCCATATAAACTTTAAAGTAGTTTTTTCCAATTCTGTGAAGAAAGTCATTGGTAGCTTGATGGGGATGGCATTGAATCTATAAATTACCTTGGGCAGTATGGCCATTTTCATGATATTGATTCTTCCTACCCATGATCATGGAATGTTCTTCCATTTCTTTGTATCCTCTTTTATTTCATTGAGCAGTGGTTTGTAGTTCTCCTTGAAGAGGTCCTTCACGTCCCTTGTAAGGTGGATTCCTAGGTATTTTATTCTCTTTGAAGCAATTGTGAATGGGAGTTCACTCATGATTTGGCTTTCTGTCTGCTATTGGTGTATAAGAATGCTTGTGATTTTTGTACATTGATTTTGTATCCTGAGACTTTGCTGAAGTTGCTTATCAGCTTAAGGAGATTTTGGGCTGAGACAATGGGGTTTTCTAGATATACAGTCATGTCGGCTGCAAACAGGGACAATTTGACTTCCTCTTTTCCTAATTGAATACCCTTTATTTCCTTCTCCAGCCTAATTGCCCTGGCCAGAACTTCCAACACTATGTTGAATAGGAGTGGTGAGAGAGGGCATCCCTGTCTTGTGCCAGTTTTCAAAGGGAATGCTTCCAGTTTGGGCCCATTCAGTATGATATTGGCTGTGGGTTTGTCATAGATAGCTCTTATTATTTTGAGATACATCCCATCAATACCTAATTTATTGAGAGTTTTTAGCATGAAGGGTTGTTGAATTTTGTCAAAGGCCTTTTCTGCATCTATTGAGATAATCACGTGGTTTTTGTCTTTGGTTCTGTTTATATGCTGGATTACATTTATTGATTTGAGTATGTTGAACCAGCCTTGCATCCCAGGATGAAGCCCATTTGATCATGGTGGATAAGGTTTTTGAGGTGCTGCTGGATTCGGTTTGCCAGTATTTTATTGAGGATTTTTGCATCAGTGTTCATCAAGGATATTGGTCTAAAATTCTCTTTTTTGGTTGTGTCTCTGCCCAGCTTTGGTATCAGGATGATGCTGGCCTCATAAAATGAGTTAGGGAGGATTCCCTCTTTTTCTATTGATTGGAATAGTTTCAGAAGGAATGGTGCCAGTTCCTCCTTGTACCTCTGGTAGAATTCGGCTGTGAATCCATCTGGTCCTGGACTCTTTTTGGTTGGTAAGCTATTGATTATTGCCACAATTTCAGATCCTGTTATTGGTCTATTCAGAGATTCAACTTCTTCCTGGTTTAGTCTTGGGAGAGTGTATGTGTCGAGGAATTTATCCATTTCTTCTAGATTTTCTAGTTTATTTGCGTAGAGGTGTTTGTAGTAATCTCTGATGGTAGTTTCTATTTCTGTGGGATCGGTGGTGATATCCCCTTTATCAGTTTTTATTGCGTCTATTTGATTCTTCTCTCTTTTTTTCTTTATTAGTCTTGTTAGCGGTCTATCAATTTTGTTGATCCTTTCAAAAAACCAGCTCCTGGATTCATTAATTTTTTGAAGGGTTTCTTGGGTCTCTATTTCCTTCAGTTCTGCTCTGATTTTAGTTATCTCTTGCCTTCTGCTAGCTTTTGAATGTGTTTTCTCTTGCTTTTCTAGTTCTTTTAATTGTGATTTTAGGGTGTCAATTTTGGATCTTTCCTGCTTTCTCTTGTGGGCATTTAGTGCCATAAATTTCCCTCTACACACTGCTTTGAATGTGTCCCAGAGATTCTGGTATGTTGTGTCTTTGTTCTCATTGGTTTCAAAGAACATCTTTATTTCTGCCTTCATTTCGTTATGTACCCAGTAGTCATTCAGGAGCAGGTTGTTCAGTTTCCATGTAGTTGAGCGGTTTTGAGTGAGTTTCTTAATCCTGAGTTCTAGTTTGATTGCACTGTGGTCTGAGAGATAGTTTGCTATAATTTCTGTTCTTTTACATTTGCTGAGGAGAGCTTTACTTCCAACTATGTGGTCAATTTTGGAATAGGCGTGGTGTGGTGCTGAAAAAAATGTATATTCTGTTGATTTGGGGTGGAGAGTTCTGTAGATGTCTATTAGGTCCACTTGGTGCAGAGCTGAGTTCAATTCCTGGGTATCCTTGTTGACTTTCTGTCTTGTTGATCTGTCTAATGTTGACAGTGGGGTGTTAAAGTCTCCCATTATTAATGTGTGGGAGTCTAAGTCTCTTTGTAGGTCACTCAGGACTTGCTTTATGAATCTGGGTGCTCCTGTATTGGGTGCATATATATTTAGGATAGTTAGCTCCTCTTGTTGAATTGATCCCTTTACCATTATGTAATGGCCTTCTTTGTCTCTTTTGATCTTTGTTGGTTTAAAGTCTGTTTTATCAGAGACTAGGATTGCAACCCCTGCCTTTTTTTGTTTTCCATTTGCTTGGTAGATCTTCCTCCATCCTTTTATTTTGAGCCTATGTGTGTCTCTGCATGTGAGATGGGTTTCCTGAATACAGCACACTGATGGGTCTTGACTCTTTATCCAATTTGCCAGTCTGTGTCTTTTAATTGCAGCATTTAGTCCATTTACATTTAAAGTTAATATTGTTATGTGTGCATTTGATCCTGTCATTATGATGTTAGCTGGTTATTTTGCTCGTTAGCTGATGCAGTTTCTTCCTAGTCTCGATGGTCTTTACATTTTGGCATGATTTTGCAGCGGCTGGTACCGGTTGTTCCTTTCCATGTTTAGTGCTTCCTTCAGGAGCTCTTTTAGGGCAGGCCTGGTGGTGACAAAATCTCTCAGCATTTGCTTGTCTGTAAAGTATTTTATTTCTCCTTCACTTACGAAGCTTAGTTTGGCTGGATATGAAATTCTGGGTTGAAAATTCTTTTCTTTAAGAATGTTGAATATTGGCCCCCACTCTCTTCTGGCTTGTAGAGTTTCTGCCAAGAGATCCGCTGTTAGTCTGATGGGCTTCCCTTTGTGGGTAACCCGACCTTTCTCTCTGGCTGCCCTTAACATTTTTTCCTTCATTTCAACTTTGGTGAATCTGACAATTATGTGTCTTGGAGTTGCTCTTTTTGAGGAGTATCTTTGTGGCATTCTCTGTATTTCCTGAATTTGAATGTTGGCTTGCCTTGCTAGGTTGGGGAAGTTCTCCTGGATTATATCCTGCAGAGTGTTTTCCAACTTGGTTCCATTCTCCCCGTCACTTTCAGGTACACCAATCAGACGTAGATTTGGTCTTTTCACATAGTCCCATATTTCTTGGAGGCTTTGTTCATTTCTTTTTATTCTTTTTTCTCTAAACTTCCCTTCTTGCTTCATTTCATTTTCCATCACTGATACCCTTTCTTCCAGTTGATCGCATCGGCTCCTGAGGCTTCTGCATTCTTCACGTAGTTCTCGAGCCTTGACTTTCAGCTCCATCAGCTCCTTTAAGCACTTCTCTGCATTGGTTATTCTAGTTATACATTCGTCTAAATTTTTTTCAAAGTTTTTAACTTCTTTGCCTTTGGTTTGAATTTCCTCCTGTAGCTCGTAGTTTGATCGTCTGAAGCCTTCTTCTCTCAACTCGTCAAAGTCATTCTCCGTCCAGCTTTGTTCCATTGCTGGTGAGGAACTGCGTTCCTTTGGAGGAGGAGAGATGCTCTGCTTTTTAGAGTTTCCAGCTTTTCTGCTCTGTTTTTTCCCCATCTTTGTGGTTTTATCTACTTTTGGTCTTTGATGATGGTGATGTACAGATGGGTTTTTGGTGTGGATGTCCTTTCTGTTTGTTACTTTTCCTTCTAACAGACAGGACCCTCAGCTGCGGGTCTGTTGGAGTTTGCTAGAGGTCCACTACAGACCCTGTTTGCCTGGGTATCAGCAGCGGTGTTTGTAGAACAGCAGTTTTTCGTGAACCGCGAATGCTGCTGTCTGATCGTTCCTCTGGAAGTTTTGTCTCAGAGGAGTACCCGGCCATGTGAAGTGTCAGTCTGTCCCTACTGGGGGGTGCCTCCCAGTTAGGCTGCTCGGGGGTCAGGGGTCAGGGATCCACTTGAGGAGGCAGTCTGCCAGTTCTCAGATCTCCAGCTGCGTGCTGGGAGAACCACTGCTCTCTTCAAAGCTGTCAGACAGGGACATTTAAGTCTGCATAGGTTACTGCTGTCTTTTTGTTTGTCTGTGACCTGCCCCCAGAGGTGGAGCCTACAGAGGCAGGCAGGCCTCCTTGAGCTGTGGTGGGCTCCACCCAGTTCGAGCTTCCCGGCTGCTTTGTTTACCTAAGCAAGCCTGGGCAATGGCGGGTGCCCCTCCCCCAGCCTCGCTGCCGCCTTGCAGTTTGATCTCAGACTGCTGTGCTAGCAATCAGCAAGACTCCGTGGGCGCAGGACCCTCCGAGCCATGTGCGGGATATAATCTCCTGGTGCGCCGTTTTTTAAGCCCGTCGGAAAAGCACAGTATTCGGGTGGGAGTGACCTGATTTTCCAGGTGCCGTCTTTCACCCCTTTCTTTGACCAGGAAAGGGAACTCCCTGACCCCTTGCGCTTCCCAAGTGAGGCAATGCCTCGCCCTGCTTCGGCTCGCGCACGGTGCGTGCACCCACTGACCTGCACCCACTGTCTGGCACTCCCTAGTGAGATGAACCTGGTACCTCAGATGGAAATGCAGAAATCACCCATCTTCTGCGTTGCTCACGCTGGGAGCTGTAGACCGGAGCTGTTCCTATTCGGCCATCTTGGCTCCTCCCCCCAGCAATTTTTTTTTTTATGTAGAAATCGGGGGTCTCAATATCTTGCCTACACTGGTCTCGAACTCCTGTCCTGAAGCGATTCTCCTGCCTCAGCCTCCCAAAGCACTACGATTACAGGTATGAGCCACCACACCCAGCCCCGTAGAATTCTTATAATGAGGGGGAAAAAACCCAAAACTTAAAATTCAGAGCCTGGCTTTTCTGATAATATAGATGAACCATTATCTATGCCAATCTTCTGTGATTCATTCACACCCCTGCTCCTGCCCACATGAGCACTAACCTCTCTGGACTTCCTTCTCCTCATCTGAAAACCTGGGACTATGAAACTCACCTCACCATTTTGCTTAGAGAATCAATAAGTTAACATTTGAAAGTTACTCCTTTCCTATGCCTCATCTTCTTTCAAAGATGAAACTAAATAACTCTATAATGCTTCCCTGACAAGGAGTTTGGTGTAGTTTTATTTAAAATGACCATGTTGTAAAGAGGGAAGTGGAAGGAGAGTTGATTAATAGGGATAATGTTCCAAATGTCTGGGAAATATAAGGCAGGTATCCTATTAATACACATCAACAGGAACTGTAAGAAGCTGCTGGGAAGCTCTTCTTCCATGTTAGCCTGGGTGTATGTGCCTAGCAATGCTTAAAAGGATGCACTGAACAGTGATGGTGAGGATGTGGAGAAACTGGAACCCCTGGGCAGCTGCCGCGGAAAACTATACAGTGATTACTCAAAAAAGGTAACCTAGAGGCCGGCCATGGTGGCTCACGCCTGTAATCCCAGCACTTTGGGAGGCTGAAGCGGGCGGATCACCTGAGGTCAGGAGTTGGAGACCAGCCTGTCCAACATGGCGAAACCCCATCTCTACTAAAAATACAAAACTAGCTGGGTGTGGTGGCATGCACCTGTAATCCCATCTGCTTGTGAGGCTAAGGCAGGAGAATTGCTTGAGCTGGGAAGGTGGAGGTTGCAGTGAGCCGAGATCACACTACTGCACTCCAGCCTGGGCGACAGAGTGAGACCTTGTCTCAAAAAAAAAAAAATGTAACCTAGAATTATCATCTGACCTAGCAATTCCATCTGGGACATCCACAAAAGAATTCACAGCAGGGTCTTGGATAGATATTTGCCTCCCATGTTTATAAGAGTGTTATTTACAATGTCAAGGAGTGCAACCAGCCTGGCGTCCATCAGCAGATGACTGGACAAACAAGAGGCCGTCCATCCATACAATGCAGTGTGAGTCAACTTTAGAAAGGAAGGAAATCCTGAGACGTGCAACGGCATGGATGAACCTTGAGAACATCATGCTCAGTAAAGCAAGTCGGTCTCAGAACAGATAAATACTGTGTGGTTCCACTCATACGAGGTATCCAGAGGAGTCAGGTTCATGGAGATGGAGAGTAGAATAAGGATTGCCAGGGGCTGGGGAGAGGGGGAATGGGAGCTAGTCTTTAATCAGTGCAGAGATTTATTTACAAAATGAAAAGAGTTTTGGAGATGGGTAGTGGTGATGGTTGCACAAGAGTGTGAATGTACTTAATGCCACTAAACTGCACACTTCAAAATGGTTAAAATGCCAAATTTTATGTTATGTGGCCACAATAAAAAATAAAGAAAAAAGCAATCTGTGGTTGCAGGGTGGACCTGTTCCCGAGAGGGGAAGGAGAGGTCCCCCTTAGCTCCTGGAGGGGTGCTGGGACTAAAAGACTCACTCTGATGGCATCTGGGCACCTCCGCCAGTGGGCCCGGAGGGTGCAGAGAAGTCTGCAGCTCTAGACGCCACAGCAGAGCCTCTGCCCGCCCCCCGCTCTCCAGAATTATGTTCATGAGGGCAGATAGACAAGATTAGCCTCAGACACAAAACAGCAGCAGAGAAGGCATTGCCCTAATGGTAGGGAACACATACTTTGCAGACACCTAGATTCAAGAGAACGTGTGTAATGTAAACGTTGGAAGAAAGCCAGGAGCCTCTCAAAACTCCAGGTTAGAAGACAAGGGAGGCAGGATATGGGGGAGCAAGATGCCTTTTTTTAAAAAGTTGTTACCGGGTTTTTCAGAGCAATAGTTAAAAGGGAAGGTTTCTTTTATGATACGACACCGCCATCTCATGGACAAAACTCATATGACACAGAGTTTCTCTAAAGCGAGCCTGTCCCTCTACTGGGAGCTCTTAGCGTTGGCCCTAACAGCTCTACCTCCACATTAATACAGCATTCTCAGAGTCCACAAAGGAACATTCCATCTTTGCAAGCCAAATACTGGGGCAAAAGTCAGATTCTCATCTCATCTCCACTTCCCTCTGAGGCTTAGAAAGTCCTTTCAGCACTTGAATTTCAGTGAAGAGTCTGGACGCTGTCTCACACCAAAAACTCCCCCTGACGTGGGCACTGCAAGAGCACCCCCGTCCTGGTGATCAGAAAAAGCAAGTGTTGGCTTTATCACAGCCAGAAAATGAAACAGTCTGCGAGGAAAAGTATCCCCTCCATGCTCATCACCATTAAATGGCAAGTTCGACTTCTCTTATTTCCTAATTTAAAATTGTTTTTTTAAGAGATGGGGTGGATCTCACTATGTTGACCAGGCTGATCTCAAACTCCTGGCCTCAAGAGATCCTTCCATCTCAGCCTCCCAAAGTGCTAGGATTACAGGCATGAGCCACCGCACCCAGCCTCCCAATTTTAAGTTGTATGAAGATGTTTCTAGGAGTCTTTGTTCTGGCCTCAGGCTGTTGTCATTTTTCTGTGCTGTGTTTTTACATTGCTGTGTGGAAATTCGTTTTGATAGTGTGCTGTTTCTTGGATGTATTTGTCCAAATCAGAGCTTAAATGAAGAAAGTCTGTTTTTAAAGCAAGTCTTGGATTCACTCAGCAAAGGCTCTGGAGCATCCACTCTGGCCTGGCCACACGGCAAGCTGCAGGGCAACAGGTGGAGACGCAGCCCGCAGTCTGCACCGGCCCCAGAACCATCTTCCCCTTAAATTGTAAGAACTATCCCCGGGGGGAAAGTGAGGACATTAGGTGCAGTGTGGGCCTGGGTGTCTAGGACCGCGCATGTGGGGGCTGCAGGTGGAGAGAGGCAGTGATCTCAGTTGGGCAGGGAGTTTGTGCCTCTGAAGGACTTCATTGTTTCTCGTGCTGTCTCTGGCACGGTGTCTTGGGCCTGGAAAAATGAGCACAGGTTGGAAAGAATCTCAGAGCCCAGGGGCTGCCAGTGTCAGAGCTCGGGCCGTGCTGGGTGCCTCACACCGGGGCTGCCCTTCGGGTCTCCATTCCCATCAACACACACACACACACACATTCTGGCAACTTCTCCCATCTAAATAAAAAGGCAGTCCCCCCACCCCACCCCCACCCCCACCCCACCTCCGCCCCTTTCCATTCTGAGTCCTCAGCTCCTTTGATTTCTCAGGGCACCTGATGCAGGCTCTCGGCAACTCCCTCCTAGAGACCCCTCCTTTCTGGCCTCCAGGACTCACCTCTCCTCGCTTGCTCCTCGTCCCTCAGGTCTCCCCTGCTGTTTCCTCTCATTAATCAATAAGCACTAGAGCGCACCAAGCCTCTCTCCTCTCATCCCACCCAGCTCCTGCCTTTCAAAACAGTCGCTATGCTAATCACTCCCAAACGTGTTGCTCTCCCCCAACGCCTTAATCACCTGCCTACCTGGCACCTCTGTTCCTGTCCCATAGATTACCCTAGATGAAGCACGTCCAGAATTAAACTCCTGATCTTCCATGCAAAAGCCTGATCCTCCCACAACCCCGCAGAGCACCACGACCCCGAGCCCTCACTGGCCCTGATCCAAAGCCCTGAGCTCCACTGTGACCTCCTTCTCTCACACACCACCTCTGATCCATCAGAACAGACCTCTGTCCAAACATGCTTCTCCAGCACGCCCACCACCCTGGCCAAGCCGGGGTCAGGGCTGCAGCCTCCTCCAGGTCTCCCAGCCTCCGGTGGCTACACATCCTCTCGTCCCGGCTTCGGCCCCTCCAGGGGCCTCCCGTCTCACTCAGGGGAACCCTAGGGGCCTGGTTTTACCTACGGGGACTAGCCTGAGCTGCCCTGGAGCACCCTACTGCAGCCCTCTGGGCGTCACCTCTCTGCCCTCTTCCCTCCCTTCTCCTGCTCCTCCCTGGGCTGCTACAGCAAACTTCCCACTGGCCGGGCCCCTTATCCCCGTGTGCCAGGCTCCCTGCCTCCCACCTGCATGCCTCAGAGCAGCCACCTGCTCCCCCCACCCAGCCTTTACCCTGCATGTACCCAGCCCTCTGGTGTGCAGCGTCTGCCTGATCCCCTAACCCCTCCACCTTTACCTTTCCCGCCACATGTACCCCGTCCTCTTATTCCAGTAAGTTCCCTCCAGGCACGCACTTTTGCTGGTTTTCTTCACTCCTGCATCCACTGCACCTGGCCTGTGATGGAATCTTCATCCACAGAGAATTGAGTATCTGATAAAGGACTTGCTTGCAGCATATATAAAGTGTTCTCCAAACTCATTCATCATTTTTTTAAAAACCCAATTTTTTAAAAATGGACCAAAGATATACACTGAAAAGATGTTCAACAGCTTTGGTCACTAGAGAAATACAAGTTAAAATGGAATTATTACCACCGAGCTGTACAATTAAAAATGGTAAAGATGATAAATTTTATGTGTATATTTTATCTCAATGAAAAATAAAATTAAAAAGAAAAAGAAATACAAATTCAAGCCACAGTAAGTGACCACCGCCCTCCTTTCAGAATGGCTAACTAAATAGCCTGGCCACAGCCAGTGTTGACGAGGAGGCGGAGGAACCGGACTTCGCAGACACTGTGACGGAAATGAGAAATGCTGCCGTCACTCGAGAAAAGAGTTGGCAGTTTCTTTAAAATTCAAATATACGCCCACCTTCCCACCCAGACAGTCCATTGTTAACTTTTTACCCTCCAAAACTGAAAATATGTGACCACACAAAGACTTACCCAGGAAGGCTCATAGCAGCTTCATTTGTAAGAGCTCCAAACTGGAAACAACTTACATATCCATCAATGGGTAGATGTGGAAACACAATCTCAAGGATAAATGCATTGAGTAGCATCCATTCAATGGGACACCACTCAGCAATAAAAAGCAATGAACTGGGCTGGGCACGGTGGCTCATGCCTCTAATCCCAGCACTTTTCGAGGCCAAGGAGGGTGGATCACCTGAAGTCAGGAGTTCAAGACCAGCTTGGCCAACATGGTAAAACCTCATCTTTACAAAAATTGTCTGGGCATGATGGTGGGTGCCTGTAATCCCAGCTACTTGGGAGGCTGAAGCGGGAGAGTCACTTAAACCCGGGAGGCAGAGGTTGCAGTGAGCCGAGATCACACCATTGTACTTACACCTGGGTGACAGAGTGAGACTCAAAAAAAAAAAAAAAAAGAGCAATGAATTATTGAATACATGCCACATGCCACAGAGCCACATCTTCAAATAATTTGCTGGGCAGAAGAAGCCTGACCCAAAAGAATCATACTGCCTGGTTCTACTTTTATGAAATTTTAGAAAATGAGAACCAATCTTCAGAGAGAGAAAGTTTGGAGGAGGGGACTGGAGCAGGGAGGGGTGAGAGGAAAGGACTACAAAAGGGCCCAAGGGGACACTGGCGGATGATGGACATCGCCATCCTCTGGACTACGAGTTCAAGGCTCTAACCTCTGGCAAGAATGTGAAGTTGTAAAAAATATAGCAAGGCTTTGGAAGTGACCAATCTGGCTCTATCCCACAGTTCTGCTGGTTTGGATTTCCCAGTCACAATTCTTTATAATTGTAAACATTCCCCAATGCAGGGCCAGCTTCAGGAGGGCAACACCCATTCAGTCACATAAGGCCCAAGTTTAGAAGCCCTCCGCCCCCAAATTCCATTTAATGCTCTCCTGTTACTGTCTCAAAGTGCTTAATAATTTTATTTTATTTCTATTATTTTATTTTATTTTTGAGATGGAGTCTTCCTCTGTCGCCCAGGTTGGAGTGCAATGGCGCGATCTCGGCTCACCGCAACCTCCATCTCCTTGGCTCAAGCCATTCTCCTGCCTCAGTCTCCCAAGTAGCTGGGATTACAGGTGCCCGCCACCACACCTGGCTAATTTTTGTATTTTTAGTAGAGACGGGGTTTCACCATGTTGGCCAGGCTGGTCTCGAACTCCTGACCTCATGATCCACCCGCCTTGGCCTCCCAAAGTGCTGAGATGACAGGCGTGAGCCACTGCAACTGGCCAATAGTTTTTGAACAAAGGGCCTTACATTTTTGTTTGACACACTGGGTCCCACATGTTATGTAGATGGATCTTCCTCAAAGTGTGTTCTGCGGAGTTAATTCTTTACTTCTGTTCATTTATGTTAATTGCTGTTGTGGAAAAGGAGCATTTGGGAAATGCTAAGTTAAAGTTAAATAACTTCATTTTCCCGAGGACAATTTGTAGCAACAGTTCAGATTAGAAACTAATAGTTAGTCATCTTACCAATGATGGAAAAGTCCTATTCGTTATCACAGAGATGTATATGTATAGTTTTCCCTTGCTATCCACAGGGAGGTTGGTTTCAGGACCCTGGCTCTTACCAATGATGGAAAAGTCCTATTCATTATCACAGAAATGTATATGTATAGTTTTCCCTTGCTATCCACAGGGAGGTTGGTTTCAGGACCCTGGCTCTTACCAATGATGGAAAAGTCCTATTCGTTATCACAGAGATGTATATGTATAGTTTTCCCTTGCTATCCACAGGGAGGTTGGTTTCAGGACCCTGGCTCTTACCAATGATGGAAAAGTCCTATTCGTTATCACAGAGATGTATATGTATAGTTTTCCCTTGCTACCCACAGGGAGGTTGGTTTCAGGACCCCAGCAGATGCCAAAACCTGTGAATCCTCCAGTTGCTGATAGACAATGGCATGGCATTTGCATAGAACCGTGGACTTTAACTCCTCTCTGGGTTACTTACAATACTTAATACAATGCCTACACGTCACTTCAGTCACGTAGATTCAATGTAGTACTCAATGCGCAGCAAATTCAAACTTTGGTTTTGGAACTTTGCAGAATTTATTTTCTGAAAATTTTCAATCTGCAGTTGGTGGAATCCATAGATGCAGAAGCCCTGACTGTACTGGAGATTAGACCATGTCCCATAAAACCATGCCTCTCACACTTGGACGTGCACACAAATTAAAACCAGCCCAACTGTCCCATAGAATTGGGACAATTTTTTGAATAAACATAGAAATTGACCCTCCTGATCTTAAAACTTGAAACTTACATTTGTCTCATCTGAGTTGCTTCCTCAGGAAAGGAGCTGAAACTCATCAGATCACCACATCCAGAGAAGATGCCAGTCCGCTCATTCATGATTGCTTCCTGTATTAATCTGTTCTCACACTGCTATAAGGACATGCTCGACACTGGGTCACTTGTAAAGGAAAGAGATTTCATTGGCTTACAGTTCAGCATGGCTGGGGAGGCCTCAGGCAGAAGGCGGAGCCAACACGTCCTTCGTCACATGGTGGCAGGAAGGAGAAGAATGAGCAAAAGGGAAAAGTCCCTCATAAAACCATCAGAGATCGTGAGGACTCACTCACTACCATGAGAACAGCAGCACTGGGGTAACTGCCCCCATGACTCAATTACCTCCTACCAGATCCCTCCAATAACACATAGGGATGATGGGAACTACAATTCAAGATGAGATTTGGGTGGCAACACAGCAAACCATATCATTTCCTCACCCCTCCCTAATTCTGTTTTACACTCCTTCCTCGCTATATAAACTCCCCAATTTTAGTCAAGCAAGGAGACAGGTTTGAGACAGATCTCCCATCTCCTCAGCTGCAGCACCCAGTTAAAGCCTTCTTCCCTGGCAAAACTCATCTCAGTGAATGGCTTTCTGAGCAACAAGCAATAAGACCTGGACCACACCCCTGGCGTTTCGGTAACAGAATCACTTGGGGATCTTCTAAAGGTACACAATCAGTTTCATTAGGTCAGGCCCTAGAAACTGTGTTTCTCAAGTGGTTCTGATTCTACTGGTCAGCAGAACACAGTTTGAGTAGCAGAGCTCTAAAATGTATGTATGCATAGGTGCACGTAACTCTCGGAGGAGGCTTAGTTCTGTCTGTTCAATTTATATGTCGGTTTCATCACTTAGTGTCCATGTGACTGAGGAGAAAGTTATTCTCTCTGAGCCTCAGATTCTTCAGGGTGCCCAAGGTAACCATTCCTAGAATTATTTCAAGGATTTAAGCAAAGTAATTTTATACTGATGCTCATTTTAACAGCCACTTATGGTGAGTGAAGCAAGATAGATACCATTATCTCCATTTTACAGATGAGAAAACTGAGGCTTAGGGAGGTTAAATAATGTGTCCAGTGCTAAAGCGTATAAGCAACAGCGAGGGCTCGAAACTTTGTCTTGATTTATTTATTTGTTTTTGAGACAAGGTCTTGCTCTGTTGCCCAGGCTGGAGTGCAGTGGCACAATCTTGGCTCACTGCAGCCTGGACCTCCTGGTCTCAAGTGGTCCTCCCGCCTCAGCCTCCCAAGTGGCTGGAACTACAGGCATGCACCACCATGCCCAGCTAATTTTTGTGTGTTTTTGTAGAGACAGGCTCTCACGTTGTTCTCCAGGTTGGTCTCAAACTCCTGGGCTCAAGTGATTCTCTCACTTTGGCCTCCCAAAGTGCTGCAGCCCCTGTGCCCAGACAAAAGTTTATCTTTTAACTCTGAACCCCTTGATCTTTGTTTCACTCGAAGATTTTGAGTGTCTACTATATACACCAGGCTCTTGTCTTTACATCATTCTGACTTATGGAAGGGTTTGCTTTGCAGTGAGGTTTCAGGTTACTCTCCTTTTATAGATGGGATCCTTTTTCTTCCTTTTGAAAACAAATTGATTATTCTTTATCAAAATTATAAATGTTCATTGCTTAAAGAATTCAAGCAATACAGAAGAGAACAAACAATAAAAATCTCACCACCTCAGACGTGGCCTTCATTAACATTTTAGTGACTATTCTTCCAGTCCCCTCTTTATGACCTATGGGTGACCCATTGAGGGTTCCTCTGGTCAATAATTTTGAGAAGCTTCTGTGTATTATAGTCCCCACCTGGAGGTCCCAGAGAGCACTAGAGTTTTCAAGGCTCACAAAACTTACAGCAAAAAGTTTTGCCACTACAAACAAGTATCCTTAAGTGTCTATATTTTTTCAATTATATTATTATTTTCTTAGGGGAAACAAAGCATGCATAGTGCCCTCCCCAAAGGCTGTGCAACTTTATACTGCTACTAATTGCTCATGAGAGTTACCATTTCCTAAATCCTGCTGCTAGTAGACTTTACCAGTTCCTTTGCTTTTGATCAATCTGATAACACAAACAAAGCTAACTGCTGTTTCTATTGTTTCTTCAATCATTCATGAGGTGTTTATCGATTAATTTATAAATTGTCAATTCATGGTCTTTCCAAATTTGGATTTTTATTTTTTTACTTTTGAGTTCTTTGTTTAATAAGGAAATTTATATTTTAGTATGTGAGTTGCAAATATTTTTACCAATTTAGTTTTCAACATGCTTATTTTATTGTGTTACAAAGTCATTTTCCCCAGCACTTTGGCAGGCCGAAGCAGGCAGATCACTTGAGGTCAGGAGTTCGAGACCAGCCTGGCCAACACGGTGAAACCCCGTCTCTACCAAAAATACAAAAATTAGCTGGGAGTGGTTGCACATGCCTGTAATCCCAGCTACTATGGAGGCTGAGGCAGGAGAATCACCTGAACCTGGGAGATGGAGGTTGCAGTGAGCCTAGATCATGCCTCCAGCCTGGGCGACAGAGCAAGACTCAGTCTTAAAAATAAAAAAATAAAAAAAAAGTAGTTTTCAATTTGTATATCACCAAATACATGGATTTGGGGTTTGGGGATTTCTGACCTGTTCATTTGAAGGACCTCTTGCAACCAAGATTATAAAAATATTCACCCATATTTTCTTATGATATTTTATAATTTCTATATTTACAATTAGATTCTCAATCCACCTAGACGTTATTTTCATGTGAGGTCTGAAGTAAAGCTCTACCTCTATTTTTTGTCTAAGTCACCAGCCCGTTATCATACCTCATATATTAGATAATTTATTTTTTAACTCTAAGATGACATGATGTCTTTTTAAGTTTTGTTTTATATTTTGCATTGCATAATATTCACTTCTGGTGTATAGTTGCATGATTTGGGCAAATGTGTAGAGTTGTGTAACCACCATCACAAGGCACAGGACAGTTTCATCACCCCCCAAAACTCCCTCTCCCTGCACCTTTGTAGTGAATCCACACCCCTAACCCACGGCAGTCCACGGCCCTCTTCTCCATCTTCTCCATCCCAGTGCTTGCCCTTTCCAGAATGTCCTAAGGATGGAATGGCGTGGTGTGCACCTTTGAGCACCGCTTCTTTGACTGAGAGCAACCCATGAGATCCCTCGTGTTGCTGTGTGTGTCTGTGGACAGCTGACTGCTTTTCACTGCTGAGTAGTATTCTGTTGTGCCACAGTCTGTTTATCCATTTGCTAGAGTAGGCAGACAGCTAGCCATGAACAGGATAGGGAACCCCTGAAAAAGGAAGCTCTGGAAAATCTCACACCCTTGGGATCACCTGAAACATGCCTGCTGGACATGAGCAGAGAGGAGGGGAGATTCCAACGCAGAAGGGGACACCCCGAAACGCTCCTTAGGGCACCCAGTCATTGCTCACTCTGCAGTTAGCCTGTCAGAAGGTCGATAGCTGTGTGCTGATCAGAACGGAAGAAGGGCAAAGGGAAATTCCTAAGAGACACAGGCGCAATAGGCACTAACTTAACCGCTATAGGACCTTCCTGGGGTGGCGGACATGGGCAGTGCTGCCATCAGGCAGGATTCATGCTGATCACCAGCACATGTTAACTGACATGTTTACTGTTAACTGACAGTAAAGGAGAATCCCCAAACTTGGGGCGGGAACAAGGTGGAGACTCAAGACAGAGGCAGCAACTTAAGGAAACAATCTGATATAATCAACAGCCCCACGCAGAGCCCTCAGGGCTGCTCCCAGCCGGGCCAGCCCACTCCTTTCCTGGGGTGTACTCTTACGTCCTTCATAACCCACACTTCCCAGTAACACATTCACCAGTTAAAGGACATTTGAGGAGTTTTCCGCTCTTTGTGGTTGTGAGTGAGCTTGCTATTCACACTTGCCTACAGGTTTTCTGGAGAGAATACGTTTTCATTTGTCCTGGGCAGAAGGCCAGGAGTAGCGTTACTGGGCCATGGCGTCTAGGAAGTTTCTTACCTTTCTGAGACCTCTTGCTGTTCTCCAAAGCAGCGGCCCGCTTTGCCTTCCCACGGGGAGCGCGTGGGAGTTGCCGTCGCCCAGGGTCCCATCATCAGCACTTGCTCTTTTCCATCGCTGTGTCGTTCTGGCTTTTTTCTCAACCCGCTCTAGCAGGCTTGTAGCAGCGTCTCATTCCCCTAATGGGTAATGGCGTGGAGCATCTTTCCATGAGTTTATTGGCCATTTATAGATCTTCGTTGGGGAAGTGTCTCTTCAAATCTTGTGCCAATTTTTTTTTACTAGGTTGTTTTCTATTTCTGAGTTGACACTGTGTCTTTCTTCGCGCGGCATTTCCAGGTCTGTGGAAGTCTATTTTGAACCTTCTGTTCCAGTCCATTAATCTACCTGTCTGTTCCGGGGCCGGGACCACACTGTTTTTATGACTGTAACTGTTTTATTACTCTAAGAATGTATTTCATTTGTATAAGACAATTCTTCCCTTATTATTCTTTTCCAAAATACTCTGTTATTTTCAAATATTTATTTTCCAGCTCAACTTTAGAATAATTTTGTCAAGTTCTCCCCAAATTCTGTTGAGATGTTTACCTTTAATGATACTGAATTAAATAGAATAATTTAGGGGAAATTATCCTTTAAAATACTGTCTTCTAGTCCAAGAAAAGACAGATTATTCCCTTCATTAAAGTTTTTATTTGTGTCTGACAGGTTGATTGCTTTTCAGGTATTTGTATTTAGTCTGTTTTCATAGTTGGTGTGCTCAGGATTGGGGTAAAATCAGTAATGAAAACGGACACACTGGCAGAACTCTGATTCACTCCCGAACTGGATGGGCTTGAGATCAGACAATGTTAGTGATGTGTTTTACCTCTGTCCTAATTTTAGCTATTTGTAAAACTTACAACATTAAATTTGAGGATTAGAAAAACAAATCGCCTCCATAACAGTGACAGCTCCATCTCTTTGCCACCCGTAACTCTTCGCAGTGGATGAAACTTTCAGTTTATTTTTCCCCAACAGAGAGCTGACCTCCTTTAAAAAAAAAAAATTCAGTAGGGTACAAGTGGCTTTTGGCCACATGGATGAATTGTATAATGGCGAAGTCTGAGATTTTAGTGCACCCATCACCTGAATACTGTACAATTACCCAATATGTAGTTTTTCTGTTTTGTTTTTTTGAGACAGGGTCTCACTCTGTTACCCAGGTTGGAGTGCAGTGGCCCAATCACAGCTCTCTGCAGCCTCAACCACCTGAGCTCAAGAGATCCTCCTGCCCCAGCCTCCCAAGAAGTTGGGACTGCAGGTGAAGATCACCACACCCAGAACATTTTTAAATTTTTTTGTAGAGATGGGGTTTCACCATGTTGCCCAGGCTGGTCTCACACTCCTGAGCTCAAGTGATCCACCCACCTTGGCCTCCCAAAGTGCTGGAATTACAGGTGTGAGCTGCTGCACCTGGCCTCCAATATGCAGTTCATTATTCCTCATTTTCCCCCCACCCTCCCCCCTTCTGAGTCTCCAGTCTCCAGTCTCCATTATACCACTCAGTATGCCTTTGCATTCCCATAGTTTAGCTCCCACTCATAAGTGAGAATATACAGTATTTGGTTTTCCATTCCTGAGTTACTTCACTTAGAATAGCGGCCTCCAGTCCCACCCAAGTTGCTGCAAAAAACATCATTTCATTCTATTTTATGGCTGAGTAGTATTCCATGGTGCATATGTATCAGGGTTTTTTGTTTTTGTTTTTTTGTTGTTTTTTTTTGTTTTTTTTTTATTGAGATGGAGTCTCCCTCTGTCGCCCAGGCTGGAGTGCAGTGGCGCGATCTCAGCTCACTGCAAGCTCCGCCTCCCGGGTTCACGCCATTCTCCTGCTTCAGCCTCCCGAGTAGCTGGGACTACAGGCGCCCGCCACCACGCCCGGCTAATTTTTTGTATTTTTAGTAGAGACGGGGTTTCACCGTGTTAGCCAGGATGGTCTCGATCTCCTGACCTCGTGATCCGCCCACCTCGTCCTCCCAAAGTGCTGGGATTACAGGTGTGAGCCACCACGCCCGGCCTGTATCAGGTTTTCTTTATCCACTCATTTGTTGATGGGCACTTAGGTTGGTTCCATATCTTCGTAATTGTGAATTGTTCCGTAATAAACATACAGATGCCTTTTTGATATAATGACTTTTCCTTTGGGTATATACCCAGTAGTGGGATTAGTGGATTGAATGGTAGATCAACTTTTAGTTCTTTCAGAAATCTCCACACTGTTTTCCATGAGGTTGTACTCATTTACATTCCCACCAGCTGTGTGCGAGCGTTTCCTCCTTTCCACATCCTTCTGAGGCATTTCAGAAGGAATTTTCATTGCTGCTGTGGGTTGCAGCCATGCATAGGTAGCTACACATTGGTGGCACATTTAAAATGCCACTTTACTAGCTTTTAATATAAACATGATCCCATGCAGACACTTGTTTTCTTTTGAAAAGAACTATTTAGCCTGATCTACAAAAGGATTCTTGTGAATAAGAATGCAAATCACCAGTCTGCCCGCTGACTGCCCAGACTCCTTCTTAGCTGCCAAAGTGATCCATTCCATCCCCAAGTTTTCTCTTCCCGTCATTCCCAAGTCTTGCCTTTGCTTCATTCTGAAGAGACTAGTTTCCGTAATTTACAGTTTCGGAGGAAGAAAATGACTCTTACATATCTGACTTCAAGTCTCTTGATAAACTTTCAGTAACATGAGTGCTCTCAGTTTCTCTGAAAAACCTTGGTTTTAGGACCTTTTGCTTCCTGGAGCCTTTGCATTCAAGAGAATTCAAATAAATGTTTTGATCATGATGTAGGCTCAGCTTCCTTACAAGAGACCCAAAACATAGTGGCTTAAATGAGAGAGAAACTTATTTTTCTCTAAGAGTCCAAGCTGATGCAGCAGTTCAGCTCTGTGAAATTGTCAGGGGCCCAGACTCCTTTTGCCTTAGAGCCCTGCCATCCTTCTGCTGTCTCCTTTGTGGGCATGGACTGGCGACATCCCAAAGAGACACTCCAGCACAGACACAGCGAGGACTCAGTTACACAGCCACGTCCTAGCTTCAGGGGAGGCAGGGCAATGTCACCTTTGTCGTATGCACCTCTCTGCCCTGCTAAAAATTCTCTGTTAATCTAAGAAATAAGAGGAGAACAGATATTGAGACACAAGTAGCAGCCTCAGAACCCACCTGGGCATTAAGAGACATTTACAGGGCTAGGCTGGGCTTTAATCAGGATGGGCAAGATGGAGCAGGAACAAATGAACCCCAAGACTTCATTGTCTAGCTGCACAAAAGGTGAGCTCTTCCTCAGTCCATTGAAGGCCTAGGACACCTTCTCAGACAACTGTCTCCCTGGGGGAGTTCAGTATTCTGGGTTGCTTCACACATGCCAACCTGGGCTCCATCATCACACTGGCTGGGAGGATATGGCATGGAAAACCTGGTGCCAGCTCCCAAATGCTTCCGCCCGGAAGTGGCATCCAGTGTGTCTGCTCAGATTTCCCTGACTGAGGCAAGTCACGTGGCCACGCCTAACTCCAAGGGGACAGGGCACACCCCTCCATGAACTTGAAGGAAGAAGAGGCGAAAGGAATGAGCAAGAACACGGTCTTTGGCATCTTGAGGAGCTGCAGGTCAGTCCCACTGCAGCAGGACAGTCCTAGAGAGGCAGCAGGCAGTCTGGCACCTTTGCATGGCTCCAGACCTCGGATCCCCTCACAGCCCACCACACCAAGGTAGGTGCTAGTGGGTCCCTGGGTTTGGATGGCGGATCATTCACTTGCTTGCAACCAAGTACAGTTTTTGATTTTAGCTCTGAATGAGCTTTGTGAAGGTGGAACTCATTCCAACAGCGGGAACTGAAAGGACCACAGATGAATTATATTGTTTACCCTTCAACATAGACCACCCACCTCTTAATTACCCTGGTGCTTGGGTGACCTATTAAATAACTTAGACAGAAAGCATCACGCACAATACCCTCAACATGAAAAGCCCGAACAGTGGAAGCCAACATAAACACACACTCTGTGCATCCTCTGCCATGGCCATCAGTTAGCAGAATGGAACCCACAGTTTGTCTTAATGAGAATCACTCCACCAAGGGTTCTCGTCCTGGATCCTAGTGTCTTTCTTGTGGCATCATGTGGTTTTAGCATCTACTTCCTCTCCACTCCCAGGACCGTATGGTAATACCGACCTAAAAGGAAGATGCTGAGGCAAAACTTACATAAGTAGGGAGTTTCTTTGGATCAGGGTTTCAAGTTGCAAGCTGGGAGCACAGATGCCAGTTGTCCTGAGTATGCCCTCCAATTAGCAACGGTTACAAGGAGGCTTGAAAGGGAAAGAAGGGGTAGTTCCCAAATTGTTTACCAAGCAGATACATTAAAATAACATCAGCTATTGGTTGTCTATGCATTGTTCGTTGTGTCACAAAAATCTAGGAACTTAATGAGTGAGGCAGCTTGTCAGTAACAAAATTACCTGAAGTAATTGTCACTGGACTGAGTGGCTCATGCCTGCAATCCCAGCACTTCGGGAAGTTGAAGCAGGAGGATTCCATGAGCTCAGGAGTTTGAGACTCCCCCATCTCTACAAAAAATAAAAAAATTAGCCAGGTGCAGTGGCACGCACCTGTGGCCCCAGCTACTCAGGGGTGTGAGCAGGAGAATTGCAGGTTGAGGCTGCAGTGAGCCGTGATTGAGCCACTGCACTCCAGCCTGGGTGACAGAACTAGACCCTGTCTCAAAAGAATAAAACAAAAACACTAGCCCCTGGGCATGGGTGCAGGGGTAGGGATTAGCTAAACCCATACTCTTTTCTCTCTGGGTCTGTGTGCCTCACAGAGCTCAGACTTCTCTGAGCTATTGTTCTTTTCCCAGTAATTAATGAGGCATCTTAGTAGCTTTAATTCATCCTTCCTAGGCCACCCCAGGTGCTCCGCGGCTGAGGAGGACAGCACTTCACATTCCACTGCTGCTCCCCTTCTTCCAGGGGTGGCCACCTGTCCTCCCTTAATCTACTCAGAAGGTTTCTCCATTTAGAAAGAGTAACTGTGACTGTTGTAATGAATAAATCTCAACATTTCCACGGCTTCATATGAAACAAATTTGATCCTCATTTACGTAAATCCCAAATGGATATTTCTGACTATCGTCAACAGCAGGCTCCAAACCACAGAGTTATGCAGAACCTAGGCTAACAGGGGACCCACCATCTTCAGCAATGTTTCCAAGTTTGTTCTGGACACCCACAGCCCACCCAGCAAGGATAGGAAGAAAGAGAACAGAGAAGGTGCACCTACAATCACCTAATGGGTTCTTCCTGCCCACAGCACCGACAAAAATCAGCACACTGAGACAACAGCGTTGCAAAAGAGAAAGACTAATTGACTGGAGGCTGTCCCACACAGGAGAACAGGACTTAACACTGAAATTAGCCTTCCTGTAGGCTCAGAGGTTAGGGTTTTTATGGACAATTTGATGAGCAGGGGGCTAGGGAATGGGTGTTGCTAATTGGTGGGGGATGAAATAACAGGTGTGTGAAAAATGGTCCTTCAGCATTGAGTCTGCACCAGCTGAGTCACAAGTCTGGGTGGGGCCAGTCTGAAAAACATCTCAAAAAAGCCCCTAGGTTCTACAATAGTGATGTTATCTGTAAATGGGAAGGTCACAATTCTTGTGACCTCTAGCCACATTTTCTATAATCCCAAAGCAGTAAAAGATGACAGAAAATATGTCTATATCTTAGCTGAGTTCAGGCCCCTCTCATAATCCTATTCTTGCTTACAAAGTTTTTGATGGTGAGCAAGGAGGGAGTTAGCTTCTGGGAAGGACTATTATCATCTTTACTTTATTATCATTTAAGTTAAACTATAAACTAAATTCCTCCCACCGTTAGCCTGGCCTATGCCCAGGAATGACCAAAGACAGCTTGTTACCCACCATGAGCTCGTGGGCTCTCAATGAGATAGAAATTGACATAAGGGTGAAAGAGTTTTCCAGACAAGGTTTCATTGGAGCTTATGCCTGGGCATAAGGGAGGCAGCATGGGAGGGAGAGAAAGAGAGAAAGAGAACTCCCTGACTGACTCCCTCAAAAGAGCTGGTGGGACTTTCTTATTAGGCAAAGCATGGGAATTGAAATGAGGGACAGGGTGCACAGGCTGGGCTGGGCGAAGCATGTGAAGGGTAGGGTATGCAGGCCAGCATTATTTGGTTGTAATGGTTCTCTTGATTAATAGTAGGTCATCTGGTGGTCTGGCCAACAGCCACAAGGCTACGAATCAATTGTTCAGCATTCCTTCCCAAGGTGGGACACTCCACAACCTTGGTTATCTCCTAAGGCTGGTTTCTGGAATTCTTTAAGTAAAAGGCATGGTTAAACACAGTGTCAGTGAGGTAGTGGTGTGGGTTGTGTGATCAGTGGGAATGCTCCTGTGGGGATGAAACTCCACCTCTACTGTGTCTCACTTGGAGGTCAGAAGCGAAATGGAGTCAACTATGCCAGATTTATCTTACCGTCATAATTTTGCAAAGGCAGTTACACACCCTGTCTTCAGCAGTCACCTCAGGCTACTGTCACAAAGTACCACAGACTGGGGGGCTCAAATAGCAGAAGTCTGTTGCCTCACATTCTGGAGGCTGAAGTCCAGATCGAGGTGTGGCTGGGTGGGTTTCTCCTGAGGCCTCTCTCCTTGGCTTGCACATGGCTGCCTTCTCCCTTGTGTTCTCATGAGGGTTTTCCTATCTGTGTGTCCTGATTTCCTCTTTTTATAAGGACATCAGTCATATTGGATGATGAAGAAAACCAGAATATTTTATCTGAAAATATACTCCTCGGACATATTTGGAGGTGCCTGTCAGAGGCCCTGCAGACATAGGTAGCCCCGCGATGCTGCCTTTTGTGGGGAGAGTCACCTCTATAGAGAAGCCGCTTTGACGAAGCCAGACTTTCTCTGAGGCCCTTCCTTGGGAAGGACCTAGAAAAGATTACATGAGAGTCTGACACGGTGAAGGTCAGAGAGAAACATTTGCCATCCCTTCTCTCTGAGGGCTGCTAATGTGAGGTTTCATCTACACCACAAGACCAACCTTGCTGGCCACACCCCCTCTTCTCTACCTCCCGTAACCCGTCTTGGCGCTAGAACCTGACTCACCACCATCCCTGGTTTTGCATATGCTGTTAGCCTTTATTCTTTTTGGAAGCTCAGGATGGTATATAAGCTCTGTACACCATTGAGGGGTTGGGGTAACCACTCTGTGATATTCCCTCCACGCACCTTAACACATTCGTATGCCATTTCTCCTATTAATCTGCTTTTTGTCGGTTGATGTTTCAGTGAAACTTCAGAGGGTGAAGGGAGAGTTATCTCTTGGCCCCCACAGTTTTGGCACTCTCAGCAGGACTCCAAAGCTCTTCTCTTCTGGAAGCCACAGTCAAGGGAACCCAGGACCTAACAGGCAGGCAGAAGGGGAAGAATTTACCAGCCAGCTTTGGCCTCTCTGTGTGGAATCTGGTTGAGCAGATGGTAAAAATCACTCTCTGAAAAGTTTTGGTTAACAGGAGCAAAGGATTTATGACTAGTCTTGGGTGTAGCAACTCTATAGTACTTTTTAGTGTGAATGTTCATATTGCTTGATCCCTTTTCCTCCCTGAGTCTATTTCTTTGTCTTTATCTTTCTGTGTTGTTGCATTAAGAAGGGTACCACAGGATAGCACACGGGCCTAAGCCCATCGTTGGAGCCGGCCCTGCAGGCTGGTCAGTTTTACCGTTCTAATCAGACCTGTATCTATTTAGACAAAACTTCACTGTGGGTCCCTAAATTAAGGTTGGATGAGGTTCCCTGTCATCTTGCATTATGTCCCTACGAGCTTGACTTGTGACCAAGTGAGAGCTCTCTCTTGGTCTCCACCATCCAGGGGCTGAGATTTTTGTGTCACACCAGGTGGGCGATCTGAAAATGGCTGAGAATCTGAGATACATAAGATTTAAAGCAGCACACTTTGTGCTCCAATCATGTCGGGCTCTCAGGGGGAGATGTCTTACCAAGAAGTCCCATCCATAAGGGGATTTTGTCATCTCAACCCTTGCGACCTGGTCATCCTGGGAAAGTCCAATCCTAAAATGGTGTACACAGTGTCAGAGATTAATGAGTCTGTGACCAGTGGCCCCCCCATAAATTTGTGGGCTATTGGAGGCATCATACACACAAACATTATCCTGAACCATCTGTGGCAACCACAGGCTTTGGCTACCTTAGCTTATTCCTGGGAGTGGACTTTTTGAGAATCATTAGAATTGCCTCTTCTGTGCCCTCTCCAGGAAACACCTCTTGCACATATGCTAAAAATTTAACCTAAACCTGGAAAATTACTTCTCGGGCTTCCAATGAAGAGTCTATTGGATTGAGTTGCTGTTGGAATAAGTACACCATTGAAAATTCTAATTGTTAGGGGTAAAAAGATGGATCCTTAAAATTGGACTTCTAAATTTAAAAAAAAAAGGATTTTAGAGATCTCTCCTTCTAAACAATTGCCTTATTTTTAAGATTAAATTAAAAGACAAATAACAGTGTCATGGCTAGCCTTAGAAATTCCCTTGATAACATTAAAGAGCAAAAATATATGACCTTGGCTGGACCCAAAGGCTCATGCCCTAATCCTGGCATTTTGAGGCCAAGGTGGGAGGATCACTTGAGCCCAGGAGTTCAAGACCAGCCTGGGCAACATGGCAAGACCCTCCCTCTCTATTAAAAAAAATTAACAAATAAAAATGACCTAAAGCAGTTTTTATTTATTATATATATTTTTTGAGACAGAGTCTTGCTCTGTCGCCCAGGCTAGAGTACAGTGGTGTGATCTCGGCTCACTGTAACCTCTGCCTCCCGTGTTCAAGCAATTCTCCTGGGCTCAGCCTCCCGAGTAGCTGGGACTACAGGCATGCACCACCACGCTCAGCTAATTTTTGTACTTTTAGTACAGACGGGGTTTCACCATGGTGGCCAGGCTGGTCTCGAACTCCTGACCTCAGGCGATCCACCCACCTTGGCCTCCCAAAGTGCTGGGATTACAGGCATGAGCCACTGTGCCCAGCCTAAAGCATTTTTTAAATCCTTGTACACTGGAAGTACCTGCTTTGAAAACCTTGTGGAATTCACAATGAAAGCTACTCTACCTGCAGGTTGGCAGTTAAAATTTCATGCTTTCTCGGTCACAGCCTGGATTCAATTCCAAGTCAGGGAACCAGTCCCAACTAAAATATGATAATAAAAGATTTGAAAAAAAAAGTTTTTAAGAGCTCTCTGGTCAGAAGTCAGATTAATTAAAAGCTGATGTTCAAGCTATGTATACATAAAGGCCTGCCTTTTCTCTTTTAGATCCTGTTTCTGGGAACTTTTTTCAGTTGACTGACACCCCTTTTTAAAGTATATTTAGTCCTTCTGTTTGCTTCCTTCCTTGATGGTATAACTTTTGCGGGGAAAAATGTAATATTTTCATTGGCCTTTTGGAAAACTTTAAGTATCCTCAAATTGGCTTCTGTAGAAATTGTTCTTTCATTTCCTTCCACTTCTGCCTCTCCTTCCTTTTGCCATCATCTTCAGCACCACATGCAGTGTTCTAGAGAGGACTTCCAATGACTCTGCCACCCCCTGAGGAACACAGAAAAAGGCTCTTCTTGATCCTTTTATGCACTATTCTGTCTTCCTTGGGGAGTGTATAAAGTCATAGGCAGGGTCCGTGTTCCTCCCAGGGCTAAAGCCCTGCTCTCCTTTGTACGGCATCACCAGGTCTCTTTGGCCTGGATACCAGAGAGTACTTTGTACTGTAAGGCCAAGAAGCACCTGGCCTTTGTATGTGTGATGGTTGGAAGGTCACTGTCAAGGGCTGCAGCCTTGGAGGTGGCTGACAGTGTTTGCAGTGAATGATTATTACTGCAGGAGTTATTCGTTTTTTTGTGCATTTATATAAGAAAGGTGTGGTTTGAAAGGCTATGGAGCACTCACCATGAAGGAATAAGACTCCCATAGGGGATGAGCTGACCACAGAGTGGGCTGATGGTCATTTGGTAGCCCTTGCAGCCAGGTGTACTGTGGAAGCATTGTGCAACACAGTCCTGTGGCATTTCCCACTTGGGGTTGTGTCCGGAATTGGTGTGTTCTTGGTCTCACTGACTTCAAGAATGAAGCCACGGACCCTCGCGGTGAGTGTTACAGTTCTTAAAGGCAGCCTGTCTGGAGTTCATTCCTTCTGATATTCGGATGTGTTCGGAGTCTTTTCCTTCTGGTGGGTTCGTGGTCTCATTGGCTTCAGTAGTGAAGCTGTAGACCTTTGCGCTGTTACAGCTCATAAAGGCAGTGTGTACCCAAAGAGTGAGCAGCAGCAAGATTTATTGCAAAGAGCAAAAGAACAAACTTTCCACAGTATGAAAGGGGACCCAAGCGGGTTGCCACTGCTGGCTCCCGCAGCCTCCTTTTATTGTCTTATCTGGCCCCACCCACATCCTGCTGATTGGTCCATTTTACAGAGAGCCCAGTGGTCTGTTTTGACAGGGTGCTGATTGGTGCGTTTACAATCCCTGAGCTAGACACAAAGGTTCTCCACGTCCCCACCAGAGTAGCTAAATACAGAGTGTCCATTGGTGCATTCACAAACCCTGAGCTAGACACAGGGTGCTGATTGGTGTGTTTACAAACCTTGAGCTAGATACAGAGTGCCGATTGGTGTATTTACAATCCCTTAGCTAGACATAAAGGTTCTGCAAGTCCCCACCAGTCAGGAGCCCAACTGGCTTCACCCAGTGGATCCCCTACCGGGGCTGCAGGTGGAGCTGCCTGCCAGTCCCGCGCCGTGCGCCCGCACTCTTCAGCCCTTGGGTGGTCGATGGGACTGGGCGCCGTAGAGCAGGGGGTGGCGCTCGTCGGGGAGGCTCGGGCCGCACAGGAGTCCACGGAGGGGTTGGGAGACTCAGGCATGGCGGGCTGCAGTTACTGAGCCCTGTCCCGCGGGGAGGCAGCTAAGGCCCGGAGAGAAATCGAGTGCAGCGCCAGTGGGCTGGCACTGCTGGGGGACCCAGCACACCCTCTGCAGCTGCTGGCCCAGGTGCTAAGCCCCTCATTGCCCGGGGCCTGCAGGGCCGGCCTGATGCTCCGAGTGCGGGGCCCGCCAAGCCCACGCCCACCCTGAACTCGCGCTGGCCCGCAAGCACCACGCGCAGCCGGGTTCCGCTGGCGCCTCTCCCTCCACACCTCCCCGCAAGCTGAGGGAGCCGGCTCTGGCCTTGACCAGCCCAGAAAGGGGCTCCCACAGTGCAGTGGTGGGCTGAAGGGCTCCTCAAGTGCCGCCAAAGTGGGAGCCCAGGCAGAGGAGGCGCCGAGAGCGAGTGAGGGCTGTGAGGACTGCCAGTATGCTGTCACCTCTCAGGGGGACTCAAGATTCAGTGTAAAAGCAGGATCCTTGATATGTAAAGATCTAGAGGCTCTGCCTTTCAGCTGTGCCTGGTTTTCACATATTTAAATATTAGACCCTGAAAACTGCAAATGCTTTGTTGGATCTGTTAATGAGTTCAGTTGCCCAGTTGGAAAACAGAGATTATACTTATTAAAATTAGTCTCATTATAAAATCCTGTGGGGGCCATGGCATGGCCAGGTGTGGTGGTTTACACCTGTAATTGCAGCACTTTGGAAGGCCAAGATGGGAGGATTGCTTGAGCCCAGCAATTTGAGACCAGCTCGGGCAATATAGCAGGGGCCCATCTCTATAAAAAGTATGTATATTTATATGTTATATTTACAATATAAAAAATATATATTTATATATTATATTTATAATACAAAAATATATTTAAATATATAAATATTTTTATATATTATATATCACATATAATATATGCAATATCATATATGATATATAATATATATCACATATTATTTATATTATATTATAAATATATAAAATATTATAAATATATTAGAATATATTTTATATTTTATATATAAATATATATATATTTTTAAATTAGCCAGGTTGATGACGTGTGCCTATAGTAGCAGCTACTCAGGAGGTTCAGGCAAAGGGATTGCTTGAACCCAGGTCGAGACTTCAGTGAGCCATGATTGCGCCATTGCGCTCCAGCCTCAGCGACAGAGTGAGACCCTGCCTCCAAAAACAAAATGAAAAACATCCTGTGGTGGATTTCTATAACTTTTTGTTACCTTGAAATCCATTTTTAATCTTGCTCTAACACACTCAAACTCCTCCTTGAGAAAGCTAAAATTCTCTCTGTGCTTTGAGATGTAAATTTGCTACCCTGCTTTCTCTAAAACTCTGTAAGGTAAGGACTTCAACCATGTAGGACAGATACATTTTAAATTGTTCCATTTACAGAGACACAATTTAATACAACTGTCCTTTTAAACTAGTGAATTTTACCAGTCTCATGGCTAAAATTTTAAAAATAAAAGCATGTAGTCTTTATTTTTTTGTGTTCATTTGTATTTTTATGTATGCGTGCATATGTCTGTGTTTGAACATTGTCTACATGGTACTGAATAGACTTATAAATAAAGGAGTACTCATAAATTAAGTAAATAAGCCCAAATGCTTTTCAGGTCAATGGGACTTTAGTCATGTTGGGTAAATAAAGCTAGTTTTTAAAATCATTAGTAAAATAAAATTGAAATTTCTTCGGAATTTAATTTAGACAGTTTTACCTGGTTCTATTAGCAGACAGGTTTATATTGTCTCTGATAGATGTTTTCATGTCATAAAACTGTTGCCTTTGTGATATTTTTTGATACCTGCTTAATTTTTTCATGAGCCTGTGACCTGGGCTTTGAACCTTTTGATGCTGGCGTCTAGATAAGTGGCCATGGTGAGGCCTGGAGACCCCGTCCTCCCCAGCCCAGCCGTGTCTCTTGGCCTTGCTAGAAGGGATCAGATCCTCCAGGCACTGTTTTCACAGCTCCGTCCTTTGTCCAGGGCTCTGCATCTGATACATAACAATTAAAATGGATTACTGCCTAGGTTTTTTACTGAAAATTAGAGTTACCAAGAGATAACATTATAATTAATATATGTAATTAAAACTACTAGATACAAGACAGACACTTCTCATGCAAAATGCACAGGAAAAGTAGGAGGTGTTTTGGTAAGGAAGGCTATAAAGAAGGCATGAGAATGTAGTTTTTGTTAAAAGAAAAGCAATTTTGTCAGTGTAAGGGTAATTTAAGTGCTGTTTTAAATTGAAGGGGAAAAAAGAACGATAAAACTGAATAGACAGAGAAACTTGAAGAGCAAAAGAGAATGGAAAAAATTATCAAAGCTTCTAAAAGGCTTATGGAAATCTTATCTTGTGTGGTTAAGACTGAGATTGGATGAATCTGTTTATAAGGTTTTATTAAAATTAGCTTTAGTGTCAATACACTGATGCAAAGATAGAATTTGGTTTTGTGTTTGAACAAGATGTTCATATAGTATTAACAAAAAGTAGTAAAAGATTTTTGCTTACCTTTTGAGTAAATGACAAAAAAAAGAAGAGGGTTTGCCTCATGCTGTCTTTATTAGGTCTTTTGATTGTTTTAAAAATTGAGTTTCTCCTGTCTATCAAAGAGCTAAGTTTTTGTTTTTTAATTTTTTTTTTAGGTTCAGGGGTACATGTGCAGGTTTGTTATATAGCTAAATTGTGTGTTACGTGTTGTGGGGGTTTGGTGTACAAATAATTTTATCACACAGGTGATAAGCACAATACCCAGTAGGTGGTTTTTCTGCCCTCACCCTCCACCCTCAAGCAGGCCCTGGTGTCTGTTATTCCTTTCTTTGTGTCCATACACACTCACTGTTTAGCTCCCACTTATAAATGAGAACATGCAGTGTCTAGTTTTCTGTCCCTGTGTTAGTTTGCTTAGGATAATGGCCTCCAGCTCAAGTTTTTGCTTTTTGAAATAGTTTAAATATAACTAAAAGAACCTGGAAGTCCAACAGAGACATATTAGACTTATTTGATACGTTAAAATCCTACGGGAAGGATTGTCAAACAAGAATGGTCTTTAACTTTCTTTGAGTTATATTTGTATAAGCGTATTATTAATAGGTGTCTCAAAATCGTACGAGATTCCTAAAATTCTGATGTCTTTGTCTATGTTATCAATCATGTTTATTATGTTAAACTGTTGTATGCCACAGAAATAACCAAATTTTCTTGTCAATTGTGTCTTTAACCATAGCCATTCTAATTCTTTTGTCATCCACAGACAATGATTTACTTTAATTCTTTTCAAAAAGTAGTTTACAATGTGCTACAGTACAAAATTTGCTTCTTCTTGAAGGAAATGCATGGAAAGGACCCTGACAAGTACTCTTAAATGCAGGTTACTAATAAATTTGGAGATAAAACCACTGGATTAGGTAAAACTTTCCTAGACTGTAATTAAAAAGTTGATGCATTCATGAGGATTGCTAACCCAACATCAAGTAGAACAAAAGTTAATTACATGGAACTGAACTGATAGAGTACCAAAATGCTTTTTTATGACTTTTTGTTTGAAATAGTGCTGATTCTCTTTATGTTTTGTTTTCCAGAGTCAAGAAAACTTTTTTTTTTTCTTTTGAGCTATTTATGGCTTACAGCAATTGGGTAAAGTATACTTTTGTAAGAAAAATTCAAACGTACCTTTCTCTCTAACTGATTTCTCCAGAATTCAGAAACTATTTGAAAGTATTCTTATTTTATGGCAACATAGTTATTTGCATAAGTTTAATAAGAATCTGTTTTCTTCTGTAACAGGACACAGTTGTAATGCTAATTATTTTATCAGGGCTTTGACTGGAATGGCATTTTTTTTGTTGTTTTTGAGATGGAGTCTCTCTCTGCCGTCCAGGCTTGAGTGCAGTGGTACGATCTCGGCTCACTGCAACCTCTGCCTCCTGGGTTCAAGTGATTCCCCTGCCTCAGCCTCCCGAGTAGCTGGGATTACAGGCATCTGCCACCACTCACAGCTAAGTTTTGTATTTTTAGTAGAGACAGGGTTTCACCATGTTGGCCAAGCTGGTCTTGAACTCCTGACCTCAATGATCTGCCTGCCTCAGCTTCCAAAAGTGCTGGGATTATAGGCATGAGCCATCACACCCAGCCAGCATATTTTTAAATATAACCAAACTGCTGTGAGGAATTGAAGTTGACTTCCTAGAGCTGATAAAAAGCCCCTTGGAAAGACCAGCCTTGTCTATGTGGTTTCCTTACATGATTTCTGACCTGTGGTAAGTAAAGAATGTCACTTTCTGACAGACCCAGGAACCTCAAGAAATATCGGGAACCTCAAGAAGAGAGGAATTCACTGACTCATTCAGGTATTACACAGCCCGATGAAGAAATTTTGACTTGGCTTTCTAGCCTCAAGAGGCTTTTGAAAGTCTAACTGGAGATTCCTTATGAAAATATTTCAGCAAAGCCAATTTAAAAGGAGCCTATGTGGCCAATTACTATTTGTGCTGCACTTTATGCAAATAAACAGGCCAAGTACAATAATACTAAAACTTATTTTGCAAATAAATTGGTCATAATATTCTTGGTATAAAGGTGGGACTGGAGAGAGACAAATTATGATTCAGAAGTGTTAAAGCAAACTAAATATGGCCTGAGAAGGACTCTGTACTTCTATATTTGAGTCCTTGTGGATGAACTGCAACTTAACTTCATAGGTAGACAAGACTGAAAACCTGTCCTAGGAGTCTGTGCCTGTAATAATCGCTGAGTCTTGGACAATCCCAGCAGCCATATTTCAACTAGTCATACACTGCTGAGTGTTCAAACTGTGTTCAAATGAGGCAAACACTGAGCTGTAACCAATTCAGCTGTTCCTATATCTCACTTCTGAATTCTGTATGTCACTTTACTTTTTTTGTCTGTAAATTTGTTCTGACCATGAGGCACCCCTTGAAATCTCTCTGAATGTGCTGTGATTCTGGGAGCTGCCCAGTTCTCAAATTGTTCATCGTTCGATTAAAACTCCTTTGAATTTAACTCAGCTGAAGTTTTTCTTTTAACAGAAGAAAGCTATAGTATACCTGTTATTAGATTATAGCCTTGTCCATTGTTTTTGAGTTTTTATTTTTAACCTACAATTTGGACTAAATCCTGAATCCTTTCCTGGCTATAAGCCTCCAAACTAACATTTTCAAAGTTTTCTCCAATTTTTTCTGACTTGGAATCACTAGAAAATAAAACTATGCTTTTCTTAAAGCCCTGCAAACTGAAGTTAGACAACTTAATATAAACTTCGGGAGAAATTCCTACAGTCACTCATCTATAAACAGCCTTTGTTCCTGTGGATGCAGGGACTACTCAGAGAGTCGACTAGAACACACGATTCAAACTGCAATCCAGAAAAATCTGTCAGATTGCCACTGAAATCTGAATATGCTTCAGGTTCTAAGAAAACTGGTCTACTAGACTATCCCAGACATAAACCTTTGTTTTCCTTCTGTTTCCATAGAGGTGCCTCTTACTAGAGACCTGTTTACCTGCATCCTATGTAGAGGCCTAGCTCTGAGAGCTCGCCTGCAAGGCCGCCTCCTGAAATGAGACACAGCTATTTAACTGAATTGATCTATTCTCAGGACTAAGAGAATGGTTCAGGCAGGGCGCGGTGGCTCACACCTCTAATTCCAGCACTTTGGGAGGCCAAGGCGGGCAGATCATCTGAGGTCAGGAGTTTGAGACCAGCCTGGCTAACATGGTGAAACTCCGTTTCTACTAAAAATACAAAAATTAGCCGGGTGTGGTGACACATGCCTGTAATCCCAGCTACTCAGGAGGCTGAGGCAGGAAAATTGCTTGAACCCAGGAGGTGGAGGTTGCAGTGAACCAAGATGGTGCCATTGCACCTCTGGCTTGGGCAACAAGAGCGAAACTCCATCTCAAAAAAAAAGAGAATGGTTCAAGAAGGTATGGGATGGTATAAAGTTGTTCCTTTCTGCGTATCCCAATGTGTTCTTCCCTTCCTTTGCCTATCTCTTATCTAACAACCTGTAACCCAAAGCTATCAACTTGGCTTTGATGTGAAACTTTCTGAAAGTACAGTTTCAAAATGGGGACTGAAGGAAACCAAAATATTTCACCCAAAAAAAATACTTCTTTGACATAGTTTGAGGTGGCTGTCAGAGGGCCTACAGACACAAGTCGCCCTGCAACACTGTCTTGTGGAGAGACTTGTGTCTGTAGAGAACCTGCATCCGTGCAGCCAGGCTTTCTCTGAGGCCGTCCCTTGCCCTGATCCAGGAAAGATGAACTGAGAGGCTGCTACCTTTAAAGGTCTGAAAGGAACATTTGCCACCTATTCTCTCTAAGGGATGCTACCCTTGACGCTCCATCTACATGACAAGACCACTGCCGGGCCTCTGCTCCTCTCCCAAAACCTGTCTTGCCACCGTAACCTCATTCACCACCGTACCTGTTTTTGGTTATGCTCTGAGGCCCTATTCTTTCTGTAACCTCAAGATGGTAAACAAATCCCAGCTGCTCAGGAGGCTGAGGCACAAGAATCACTTGAACCTGGGAGGCAGAGATTGCAGTAAGCTGAGATTGTGCCACTGCACTCCAGCCTGGGCGACAGAGTGATACCCTGTCTCAAAAAAAAAAAAAAGAAAAAGAAAAGATGGCATACAAGCTCCGTACACCATCAGGGGCTTGGGGTAACCACTCTGTGATTTTCCCTCTATGTATGTTAATACGTTTGTATGCCATTTCTTCTATTAATCTGCCTTTTGTGAGTTGATTTTCAGAGGGTGAAGGAACAGCTTTTCTTGGACCTTACAATTAGGACCCACCCTGATGACATCATTGAATCTTAATTACTTTTTTAAAGACCCTATCTTCAAATATGACAATAGTGACATTCTGAGATACAGGGGCTTAAGATGTCAACATATACATTTGGGGGCGGGGACATAACTTAGCCCATAACACACCCTGAATCACATTAGATCATGAAGTGGTACCCACTGGTCAAAGCCACTCACGCAGCCCCACCTGGATGCAAGGGCCGCTGGGCGGGTAGGTGCCCCATGGCTGGTAGCAGCTTCCAGCAAACACTCTCCACTGTGCAGCCAGCCAGCTCTGTCCTAGCAGGAATGCGTTCCCTTGGGCCTCTTCCTCCTGTCTCAGCTGTCACATGCAGATTGTCCACAGCAGGGACTTGAAAGCCCTAGAGGATATGCACAGAATTGCTAAATAAAATAAGTCAGCACGCTGCACACATTTCTTTACTTACATTGTGTGATGAAGACCAGACACAAGTTTCCAGTTTCTTCCATTGCATGCTTGATGCGGAATCGCCTCTTTTAAAGTTTCAATTATGCACGGAGGTAGCAATTACCATCCTGGGTGTCATCATCAAAAAGAAGAGGGCCGGGCGCGGTGGCTCACGCCTGTCATCCCAGCACTTTGGGAGACCGAGATGGGCGGATCACGAGGTCAGGAGATCAAGACCATCCTGGCTAACATGGTGGAACCCCATCTCTACTAAAAATACAAAAAAATAGCCGGGCGTGGTGGCGGGCGCCTGTAGTCCCAGCTACTCGGGAGGCTGAGGCAGGAGAATGGTGTGAACCTGGGAGGCGAAGCTTGCAGTGAGCCGAGATCACGCCACTGAAGTTCAGCCTGGGAGACAGCAAGACTCCGTCTCAAAAAAAAAAAAAAAAGAGTAAACAGTGCGCCTGAAAGAAACTTAGGAGAGTTCGAGATGCTGACAAAGACCATCCATCCACTAACCCCACACAATAAGCAGGGGAGGAAGCTTCCAAATGGCTGCCATAATCCCAACCCTTATATTCCAGCCCACAAAAATGTCATCCTTCCCAGAACTCCGACTTTCCAGATGTCCATGAAACTCTAGCTGATGTCAGGATCAGCTATGGAATCCCATGATGAGCCACAGCTTAAATGTCAGCCACACAGGCTCAGATAGGCACACGCTTCCATTCTAGCTAATGGTTAATAAATGGAGGACAAGTCTTGACATATTCACTAGTGCAAGTTGAAGTGGCTGGCGCCAACATTCTATTTACCCTGAAGCTTAGTTTACTAGATGCCACTGCCTGTTCTGTGAACCTCATGGTCACACGTGAATTGTAACACAGAACAGTCTCAGCAGGAAAAGAGTTTCAATTTAAAAATATGATCCTCTGTCAACATGGGGCACTCCCTAATTAATTTCTGGTAGCTGCCTTATCTCAAACTTTAGGACCTTGTTCCAGTGCCTTCTTTCTGGGCAAGATGGCCAGATAGTGCAGGGGCCAAGAAAAAACTCCCCCTTCATCCTCTGAAGGTTTGCTGAAAAATCAACTGACAAAAGGCAGACTAAAGGAAACAAGGTATATACCAAAGTATTGCCATGCACGGGGGTCATACAAAATGTAAGCATGCAAAGAAGTGGCCAGAGGCATCTAGAGGTTACAGAAAGAAAAAGGGCTTGGATGGCAGCAAGACAGGTTATGGGAGGGGGAGAAGAGAAGGCCTGGCTAGCAAAGGTGGCCTGCAAAGCAAAATAAATAAATAATAAATAAACAGGCTGGGCATGGGGGCTCACCCCTGTAATCCCAGCACTTTGGGAGGCCAAGGTGGGTGGATCATCTGAGGTCAGGAGTTCGAGACCAGCCTGGCCAACATGGTGAAACCCTGTCCTTACTAAAACTACAAAAATTAGCTGGGCTTGGTGGTGGGCGCCACAGGTACCACCAGCTACTTGGGAAGCTGAGGCAGGAGAATCGCTTGAACTCAGGAGACAGAGACTCCAGTGAGCCAAGATCTGAATGACAGAGTGAGAATCTGTCTCAAAAATAAAGAAGGAAATAAAATTTCACAGGTAGCAGCCGTCAGAGAGAATAGAGGTAAATGTCCCTTTTGGACCTTTAAGATGGCAGAGTCTTGGTTAATCTTTCCTAGATCTGGACAAGGGAGGGGTGCAGAGGAAGCCTGGCTGTGTCCATGCAGATTCTCCACAGAGACTAATGTCCCCACAAGACAGCGTTGCAAGGTGGCATCTGTGTGCAGGCTCTCTGAACAGCCATCTCAAAATATGTCAAAGACGTGTAACTATGGGCAAAATATTTTGATTTCCTTAAAGGGTGAGTGGAACTTTTCCATGTGCCTCACGTGGCTTCTGTCCATTTCAGAGGACAAAGGTATATTAAAACAAAACTAAGGCACTGTTTTAAAAAACCTGAAAAATGTCTGTCCACGCCTTCCCCTTGCTTATAAACAGATTAAAAACAAATATCTATACACATGGAGATTTTGTTTCTTTTTATGGAACTAGACTCATTGTATGCACATGTCAATGATAAAAACAAACTGGACGATATGTAAAGAGGCTTATTCTGAGCTAATATGAGTGACCAAGGGCTGAGTACAGTCTCAAGAGAGCCTGAGAACATGTGCCAAGGTGGTCAGGTTACAGCTGGGCGTTATACATTTTAGGGAGACAGAAGTTATAGGCAAAGACATAAATCAATACATGTAAGGTGTACCTTGGTTTGGCCAGCAAAGGTGAAATGTCCTCCAGTGGAGTGGGGAGGTGGTGTTACAGGTCATAGGTGGATTCAAAGATTTTCTGATTGGTAATTGGTTGAAAGAGTTAAGCTTTGTCTAAAGAATTGAAGTAAATGCTTGGGTTAAGATAAGGAGGGTTTGGTTGGGCACGATGTCTCAGGCCTGTAATCCTAGCACTTTGGGAGGCCAAGGTGGTTGGATCACTTGAGCCCAGGAGTTCGAGACCAGCCTGGGCAACAGGGCGAAACCCTGTCTCTACTAAAAACAAAAAAATTAGCCAGGTGTGGTGGTGCATGCCTATAGTCCCAGCTACTCTGGAGACTGAGGTGGGATGCTCACTTTAGCCCGGGAGACAGAGGTTGCAGTGAGCCGAGATTGTGCCACTGCATTCCAGCCTGGGCAACAGAGTGAGACCCTGTCTCAAAAAAAAAAAAAGATAAGGAGGATTGTGGAAGCCAAGGTTCTTGCTATGTAAATGAAGGCTCCAGGTAGCAGCCTTAGAGAGAATATAGTATGTTTCTTTTCAGACCTTAAAGCTCAGACTCAATTAATCTCTTAGATCTGGGAAAGACCTAGAAAGGGACGAGAATTATCTACAGATACAAATTTTCCCCACAAAAGACAGCTTTACAGGTCCATTTCAAAATATGTCAAGGAAATATATTTTGAGATAATTTGTTTTTTTTTTAAGACGGAGTTTCATTCTTGTTGCCCAGGCTGGAGTGCAATGGTGCGGTCTCGGCTCACTGCAACCTCCATCTCCTGGGTTCAAGCGATTCTCCTGCCTCAGCCTCCCAAGTAGCTGGGATTACAGGCACCTGCCACCATGCCCGGCTAATTTTTGTATTTTTAGTAGAGACAGGGTTTTATCATGTTGGCCGGACTGGTCTCAAACTCCTAACCTCAGTTGATCTGCCCATCTTGGCCTCCCAAGGTGCTGGGATTACAGGCATGAGCCACCACTCCCAGCCGAGGTAAAATATTTTGATTGTCTTCAGGGTCTGCCATCTGTCACATGATACCATACCAGAGTCAGGTTGGAATTCGGTAGCTTATTGCCAAAAGCTCTGTTCTGTCAGCTTTAGGATCTCTATTTTAATCCTATTTTTTAATCCTATTTTAATGCTGGTCAGTTCTGCCTAAACTGCAAAACGGAGGGGTGTCCGACCTTCCTTCCCATCATGGCCTATATTTCACTTTTTCACGTTTCTATGGGGTCCTCTTGGCCAAGGGTTGGGGGGGGGAGTCTGTCCAGTTGGTTGGGGGTCTTAGGATTTTATTTTTGGCTTACACATATTAATTGGCAACACGCCTTTTCGACCTAACATATTTCACTTAATGCACCTCCTACCAATGGCGAGACTGGGCTCCTTTATCTGACTTCTTCTTGCAGATAGATGTAAAACCAAAGAAAATGACCAAAGCGAGTCTCAATCAATAAAGGTTTGTTTTGCCAAGGTTCACAATATGGCCTGGAAAATGGAGCACAGAATTACAGGAACGTCTGTGATCCATGCTTCCTCCAAAGATGGTTTGGGGACTTCAGTATTTAAAGGCAAAGAGGGGGAAGTAGGGAAAAGAGAAATGAAAGGGGAGTGTAGAAGGGTCGAGCAGCTGCATTCTTTCCAGGCTTTGATCAGCTTTCAGTCAATCCACGTTTTGCATGTGAGAGGGAGGGGGCCGAGGATCAGTCAGTTGCTCTCAGTGAATCTGCATTTTCACATTAGATACACAGAGAGTAGAGGGGGCAGTCGCACACGCATTTGTCTCAGGTGAGCAGATGAGTGACTTGTAGTCCTGCCTTCCTTCCCTACCTGTGAAGATAAGCTGCTGATTTACACTGTCAGGGTGAAATTCAACAGAACCGTTTTAAGGTAAAGATCTTGGGGTTCACAAGGAATTTCCTTGTGAGTAAATTGTGTGGGAGGCCCCCTGGGGAGCCTCTTTTTTTTTTTTTTTTTTGAGATGGAGTTTCATTCTTGTTACCCAGGCTGGAGTGCAGTGGTGCGATCTCGGCTCATTGCAACCTCCGCCTCCCAGGTTCAAGAGATTCTCCTCCCTCAGCCTCTCAAGTAGCTGGGATTACAGGCAGACGCCATGACGCCCAGCTAATTTTTGTATTTTTAGTAGAGATGGGGTTTCCCCATGTTGGCCAGGCTGGTGTCGAACTCCTAAACTCAGGTGATCCACCCACCTCGGCCTCCCAAAGTGCTGGGATTACAGGCATGAGCCACTGACCCTGGGGAGCCTTTTTGGCCTTTTATCCTTGTAGCCATCTACTTAGGAACAAAAAACAAGCAGTCTTTGCATGATTCAGTTCCCAAGCTTGACTTTTCCCTTTGGCTTAGTGAGTTTGGGGTCTCAAGATCCTATTTTCCTTTCACAGACAGGTGAAAGTTTATAGAAATGGAGTCACATCGTATAAATCAAGCTTTGCAGCTGACATGGCCTTCTTTTCCTTGCTGGCTTGCCCCCACCTGTTTCTTCTCTATGTCACCTCCCCCTGTCTCCACCACAGGTAACACCTGGCATGGGTCCTTCAGGGTTTCACCCACGCCCCTGTAACTATCGGGATCTATGAACTGTACAACGTATAGGCATACCAAAGCTTTTCTGTGTTTCTTTTATAAATTTTGGGTCCCAGTATTCACACTTCCCCACGCCTTCCTTTCTACACTCATAGACTCCTCGTGGAAATCCCACCAGGTGAGTTGGCAGGGCAGCTGTCACTCATTCCTTTTAGTGGCTGCATAAAACTCCATAGAGTAGACCTATCCCCATTTATTCAACCATCCTCAGCCAATGGACATTTACTTTGCTTACATCTTTTCCACAGAGACCAATAGAACAATGCTACTAAATATTCTTTAGGAAGTTAATTCTTGGAAATTTTATAACATATGCAAATACACATTCATTGGAACAAATAAAGTGGAGATTTCACCACGCTAGGTGGACATTTTTCTTATTTCAGAGCTGTGGCATATCCCCCCAAGGATTCCCTCAGGTACTGTAAGAGCTGGGCCCCAGCATGACACTCCACCCAACCGTCCGTGTCACACCCCGAAGCCTCACGTCCTTCCTGTCTCTCTCTTTTAAACATCTCCTGGTTTGCTCAGCTCTAAGCTTCCTCCTTTACTCCTCTGATCCCAAGGATTTGCTTTATGAATTCTAAAAAAAGTATTTATTTCCAAAAAGCATCTGGAGCAGTTATTTTGGAAAGCAATTGTGGAACTCTGGGAAAGTGTGTGTTTTTTACAAACCAGACCCTTGAGGAAGGGGTAGGGGCTTTGTCAGAATCCTTGAGGGATGAGGGGGCAAAGACAGCATGTACTGATCGTGAAATCACTCTTGTTTGAAACTGACTATCCAAGAACAACTAAAGAAAGTCACAATTAAAGTTCTGCTCCTTGGTTCCTCTGTCTCCTGGCCATCCCAGAAAAGGGAACTGGCTTCAGGAGAGCCCTTCTTTCCCCTGGGGGCTGTACTTACCTTAATGCACAGGCCTTCCCCGCCCATCTGTAATGAGCTTCAGCTGGAAATCACCACGAGAAACCACAGATCACTTCACAGAGGGGTTTTTCTATGTGATTCTATTCCTGGAACTATTAACACCTTTCACTTGGCTATGGGCCCTTCTCTTCTGAATCCACCTTAAACATTGCTGATGAGACAGCTCCTTTCTGATTCCACTGAAACCAGCAAATGTACCCCTCGTAAGTCTTCATTGGTTCCTATTTGCTGAGTGAAATTCCTACTGACACCAACATACTCTATCTCATCTCCAAAATTAGTTGTTTTCTAAGTGGAAACAATCAAAATGAGCATCAAGATGAAAGGCATAACTACAGAAGTAAATGGCAGCTGCGGAGGCTTTATAAAGAGGTGCAAGAGCCTTGTGTGATTGCTGTGGGGGGAAAGGGAGAGAGACTACCGTGTTATTTCTATGCATGGCTGCCCTAAATGTGGGAAGAAACTTTGAAATGTTTGAAAAACAGAAAAAAGTTATGTGGAGTGGGCAAGGGACAGAATAATACAATATGAGCTGAAGATGGCAAGCAGGTCAGTCTCCTTTCTGATTATCGCAAAATCAACCAATTAGTGGCCCAAACACAGGAATGAGAGTCCAGCAGGTCCACGGCCCCACTCATACCCCAGGGAGGAGCCATCAGGGTGAGTGCTCAGGGCCCCAGCTCTCAGATCTCACAGGCCCTCTTAGAACTCTGCCCAGGACAAGGAAGGATTGACAACTTTGGAAAATGCTGACCTAATGCACCGACGATACCTAATAACACTCTACTGTTCCTTAAGCATCTCCTCTGTGTCCAGTACCTTACCAGGCACCTAACATGGCCTAGAGATGATCCGTTGCACAACCCCATGAGGTAGGTCCTGTGACTCGACCTGTAACCAAGTAGCTTAGCTCCAAAACGCATTTTAAAACATCCTTTTCTTCTCTCTAGTTTTAGCCTTGAAATATACTTTGAAACTCTTTGTTTCCCTAACTTCCCACTGGACCCTCCTTGCACTGTGATAGTTAACCTAATTATGTGCTTGCTTAGAAATTCCAGGGCCTAATCTTGAAATGAACCAGGCATGGAGACCCAGCTGCAGAACCCTCCCATCTAGAGGTGACCTCATGGTGGTTAGTCTACAACTCAGCCACTGTCGAGATGGCTCCAGCCCACACTCCAGGTGGACCACAACTCAAGATAGCCATCGAAACAAGACACATAGATCCCATATCCAGCGCCATTCCCACAGGCTTCTCATACCAAGTTTCCCTTCTTAAACCCTTTACTGAGCCAAAACAATATGAAATGCTCTTTCAGAGGCACGGGCCTGGCCTTTTCTTGACTGCTAGCACCCAAATAAAGTTGCTTTTTTTAAACTGCACCTTGCTTCTTGTGTGGCGAGCAGGCGAACTTGAATTGGTCACAATCCCAGTTTACAACATTGAGATTCAGAGGAGCTAATGACTCCCCAAGGTCAGGCTGCTATGGCAGCACCAGGGCTCAAGTTCAGAACCATCATCCACCAAAGATCAGGCGTTACCTGAGTCTAGAGGGTTGTGACAGGATTAGAGGAAGAAATTACATGTCAGGCTCTCTAGAGAATACCCTCATTCCCTGCAGATAACACTCCACATCCTCCAAGCTCAAACCTCAACTCGGCATGGCCCCTTGCCCTTCAGGACTGTGCCTCTCAGCACTTCCTCTCCTGACACACCTTTGGGGTTCACCTCTCCCCTGGCGCAGGCCCTCCCTCTCACACGTGGGCCACTGTATCAGCCCTAAGTGGGTCTCCCTGGCCGCCAGGTCCTTCTGAAACCCAACTGGGCAAGAGTCTTCTCTGAACACCATGTGCCCCCCTTTTCCCTTTGCCCCTCCCCAGACCAGTGCCGCTTCTTCCTGCCGGCTCCTTGGGGCTGTGTTTATGCCTCAGTCACCCCACAGCCTCTGGCCAGCTACTGTTCAGAACCTGAATAGACGAACTATCAGCTGGCCAGACCAACAGAGTGGAGCTGAGTCGCTCTGAAGGCACTAGAGGTGTGTCTGTGTGGGCTGGCTGAAGCCCCCAGGGCAGACAGGACTCCTGATCTGGGACCCCCACACCTTGTCTTCCCTTTTGTGCCTCCATCCTGGGGTCACAGCAAGGATGCCTCCTGCCCTCTGTGCCTCTCTGTCACAGAGCCCCTCCATTTGAACCAGCTGAGGGGGGAGTTTGCTTTTTGTGACCTAAATACCTTAAGACACACATGCCAGGCCTCCTGACATGAGACCTTGTTCTTAATTGCTACTTCAAAACTAAACCTCATTCGCCAGGGGCTGGGAGGAGTGGGGTATGGGGAGTTGGTGTTTAATGGGTTCAGAGCTTCAGTTAGGGAAGATGGGAAAAGTCCTGGAAATGGGTGGTGGTGACGGCTGCACAACAGTGTGAATGTGCTTAGTGCCACCAAACTGTACACCTTAAATGGTTGAAATGATGGATTGTGTGTATTATATATAACACAACTGTAGATAGATACACAGATGGATAGATGGGTGAAGACAGATGATAGATAGATAGACAGATAGAAGTATATGATAGATGATAGATAGATAATAGATATATGGATAGATGGATGGACAGATGGGTGAAGATAGAAAGAAAGATAGATGATAGATAGATAGATAGATAGATAGATAGATAGATAGATAGATAGATAGAAGTAGATGATAGATGATAGATAATAGATAGATGATAGATACATGGATGGATGGATAGATGGGTGAAGATAGATGATAGATAGATGATAGAAAATAGAAAATAGATTGATAGATGAAGATAGATAATAAATGATAGATAATAGATATATAGACAATAGATACATAGGTAGATGCATAGATACATAGATAGCTGATAGATAATAGATGAATAGGTGACTAGATACATAGATACACAGATAGATGATAGATAATGGATAGATAGATAGATAGATACACACATACATACATAAACAGATGATAGATAGATAGACCCTCACTCCTGCCTTCTGGACCCACTCAGCCTGCCCTTCCCACGCTGTGCATCCTGTGTTACTTCTCACCACTTGCCCACAGTCCCCTTCCCCCACATCAGCCCTCTCCATCCCCTGACCACCCCCAGCACTCAGGGGCCTCCAGGCATTTCCTTTGTCTCTTTGGTCCACTTTGAAGTCACACATTCCACTCCAACGACCGAAATCCCCACGCTTCCTTTCAGGCCCAGTCTAAGACAGAGCTCCACAAAGCCCTCCTGACTGGCACCGTCCCAAAGGATGCCTTCCCCTCACTTAGCGCCCCCTCGGCCCTACTGCAGAGCCTCTTCCACACCTGCAAATACTTGCCTGTGGCTCATCTTGGTTTCCCGTGTGTCTGTGTGTCTGGAGAACACTCCAGGGACAGTGTGAGCTCTCTGAGGACAGGGATTCCTTCCTGAACAACGGACAAGCACCCCTCCCTGAGTGTCTGTGTGTTTCCAGCTCTGGGGAACCCAAGTCATGGTCTCTGTCCACAAGAAGCTTTTATTTATAGTGTTAAAATATACATAACATAAAATGTACCATTTTAACCATGTTTAAGGGTATAGTTCTGTGATGTAAGTAATTCACATTGTTGTGCAATCACTGTACAGCATTCATCTCCAGGGATTTTTTTTATCTTCCCAAACTGAAACTCTGCACCCATTAACCAATAATTCCCTATTCTTTCTTCCCCAGCCCCTGGCAACCAGCATTTTATTTTCTGTCTGTATGAATTTTACTATTCTAAGTACCTAAACAAGTGGAATCATACAGTATTTGTCCTTTTGTGACTGGTTTATTTCACTTAGCATAATGTCAAGGTCCATGCTGTAGCAGGTGTCAGGATTTCCTCCCTTTTCAAGGCTGGATCATATTCTGTTGTATGGATACATCCCATTTTGTTTAGCCGTTCATCTGTTGATGGAGACTTGCGTGGTTTCCACCCTTTCCTATTGTGAATAACAACGCTATGCACATAGGCATAAAGTATCTGTTAGAGTCTCTGCTTCCAATTCTTCGGGGTATATACTTAGAAGTGTAATGCTGGATCATATAGTAATTCAGTGATTAACTTTTCGAAACCAAGAAGCTTCTAACAAACTCAGAAGACAGAACCAATACACACAAGACCATCTGAGACCAAAGAGCAGAAGGAGCTTTCTGCTGAGGCCAGAACCTGCAAAGCCTGACTCCACCACCAGGGATGACCTTGACTCATACCTTAAACCTCACTGGGCTACCTATAAAAGTGAGGTCTAAGTAATACGCCCTCTTTTCCTATTCTAAGATGTACATTGCCTTCACTTTTAGTAGCTCTAAAATCAGCATTGGTTATTTTAATTTCAGCATGTTTTTCCTTAATAGAATGTAAAAGGATAGTGCATTCTGCTCATAACTGGCGGAGCCTTAGACTCCAAACACAGCACCATGGAGGCAAAAACAGATAATAGAATAAGCACTCACCACTTTAATTTTCCTTTATTCAGTTGTGTGGTAATGACTATACGAATGCAATTAAAGTCAAGAAAAGATCACCACCACAGCATAACCTACCCTGAACAGACATTTCACCAAAGAAGAGATTGCAAATATGCAATGAAAAGTTGCTCAACTTCATTAGCCATTAGGAAAATGCAAATTAAAGCCACAATGAGATATCTGACACATCACTACACACCTATCAGAACAGCTAGAACAAAAAAATAGTGATGGTTCCAAACACTGGCAAGAAGGCAGACATATTGCATCTCTCAGACATTGCATGTGGGGAGGCAAAGTGGTACAGACACTCTGAAGAACAGTTTTGCAGTTTCTTATGAAACTAAACATATACTTGTCACGTGGTGCAGAGCTTGCCCCTCAGCATTTATCCCAGAGAAGCGGAAACTCGTGTCCATGCAAAAACCCACACACAAATATTTGTAGAAGCTTTATTTCCAACAATCAAAACCTGAAAATCATCCAAATGTCCTTGGGAGACTGCATGGTTAAACTGTGGCATATGACTGCTCAGTAGTATGCCATGGTGTGGATATGCCACAGTTTAACACCATGGCATACTACTGAGCAGTCAGAAGGAACACAGTGCTGAGGCTTTATGCTGAGTGAAAAAAGCCAATCTCAGAAGGTTCCATACTATATGATCCCAGTCATATAACATTCTTGAAATGACATCATTATAGAGATGGAGAAAAATTAGTGTTTGCCAGGGGATGGGGATCCAGGGGGGAATGTGTGTGTGTAGTGGCATGTGACTGTAAAAAGGCAGCGTGCCCAGTAATTCCATTACTGGGTGTATACCCAAAAGATTATACATCATTCTACTATAAAGACACATGCAAGTGTATGTTTACTGCAGCACTATTTACAATAGCAAAGACTTGGAACCAACCCAAATGCCCATCAGTGATAGACTGGATAAAGAAAATGTGGCACATATACACCATAGGATACTATGCAACCATAAAAAAGAATGAGTTCATGTCCTTTGCAGGGACATGGATGAAGCTGGAAACCATCATTCTCAGCAAACTAACACAGGAACAGAAAACCAAACATTGCATGTTCTCACTCATAAGTCGGAGTTGAATAATGAGAACACATGGACACAGGGAGGGGAACATCACACACCAGGGCCTGTTGGGGGGTTGGGGTGAGGGGAGGGAGATCATTAGGACAAATACCTAATGCATGTGGGACTTAAAACCTAGATGATGAGTTGATAGGTGCAGCAAACCATCATGGCACATGTATACCTATGCAACAAACCTGCACGTTCTGCACATGAATCCCAGAACTTAAAGTAAAATTTAAAAAAAAATTCCACACACACACACACACACACACAAAGAAAGGTAGTGTGAGAGTGACGTTGTGCAGATAGAACGGTTGGGATTTGGGTTGTGGTAGAAACTGCACATGGGACAAGATTGCATGGAACTATACACACACACACACACACGAATGAGTGCAGGTGAAAACTGGGGACTCTGCCTAAGGTCTGTAGACCAGTCAGCAGTACTATACTCATGTCTATTTCCTGGCTCTGTACAATCGTCATGTAAGCTGTTACTTTTGGGGGAAAGTTGGGGAAGGGTACACAGGCCTTTGATTTTTGAAACTTCCTGTGGACCTATCATTATTCCAAAATAAAAAGTTTAAAGTTTTTTTCTGAAAGAAAAATCTAGAAATTAATTGGCTAGATATTAAAGACTCTGTAAAGTATCAAGATCTTTTGAGTCAGCAATGATATCCTGAGAAGGGCCTCTCCGCCAAGGTTTTAGAGGAGAGGCCACCCTTCATGTGAGCTCATCAACTCCTGCTCAGCTGCGGGTCATCAATGCCCACTCTGGGCTGCTCCAAAGTCTTCCCACTGGAAATGGGAACTTTTTACCTCCCAATTCTAATATTAGTCGGAATTGTGAATAGGCCTTGGGAGGCTGAGGAGGAAAGAAAGGCAACACCTGGAGATATGGGGATAGGTATATGCCTGTGTGCATGTGTATGCGTGTGTGTGTACATGCGCACATGCATCCATGTGTGCAGGTTATGGGGGCGGGGGTTGCTTCAAATAACATTTCCAGCTGTTTATTTTCCCTAGAGTTGGCTCCAGGTAGATCACAGTGCTGCTTGGGCTTACCCAAGATTCCAGGTCCACTCCCTTCCATCTAACTTAGTTTTGTTCCAAAGCTACGGAATGTCCTCTCACCCACTGGCCTTAAAGGGGTCTAAAATGGAGTAAAAGTGGATCCATACTAGTCTTTGATAACCCATAGTCTAGGTGTGTGCATTCTCATAGGGGAGGATTCCTGGTAAGTTGGAAAGTTGGGTTTCAGAGTCACATTGAACCAGACTTGAATTCTGCCCCTTACACCCATAACTGTGGGACCAAGAGCATGTGATATAATTTTCCCCCCTGGAGCGTTAGAACAGTTGTAATCATAGCTCATATTTCTCCAGCTTCTTCTGTGTGTCAGGCACTGTGCAAAGTGCTCACCTACCTTGGAATTTTCTTGGAGAACTAAATGAGCTTATGAGTCTTAAATTGCCTGGCCAAATACCTATATCAAGAAGATAATTGATAAACTGTGCACTTAACTAATTATTATTCCTATTATCATAGTGTCCAAGAGGAAAAAGAAACACACTTCTCCAAGAGTACAAAGAACTCTGAAAATCGCACCAAATGCTCATTTTCAAATGTTGAAACAAGGCTAATTCTGCTATGTGATTTCTATTCATTTAGTGTGCCCTGCACTAGACATTAGTCATGATCCCTGAAAATTTCAGCATAAAGAATCCATGTGTCTGCTGGCACGCACGTATCTTGAAGTTGGATTTCTCCTCAAAATACTGTAAAGATTAAGTGCTCCCCTTAGCGTTCGCAACTTGGAAAACACAGCTATTTCCTTTCGTCTAACTATGCGACGATGCATCAGCCAAAGTAAATACAAAGAAAGTAGTTAGGCAAGAATGCAAGGAACATCAATGAGATGTAGTCTTGAAATAAATTAAATTCCTCAAGAAGCGTTTGGCTGAATTGTGGGGTAAAATGTAAAACACGACCTGACTTTGATGTATAATCCTTGACATAAGAGAGGTAATGATTTGGAGGAATTTTGTAACAGATGGCTGTTAAATCAGGATTTTAATCCTCTTAAGCAGATTTAGTAAATATAAAGCCTGGGTGGGCTGACTTCTACACGCGAACTTTTTGTCCTTGCTTTTAACCTGAGGTTTCTGCTTCAAACATTGAGGGTAGTGTTTTGGTCATGGTGGTGATGGTGGTGATGGTAGTGGTGGTGTTGGTGATGGTGGTGATATTGGTGATGATAGTGGTGATGGTGGTGGTGGTGGTGACATTGGTGGTGATGGTGGTGATTGTAACGATGGTGGTGATGGTGGTGGTGATAGTGATGATGGTGGTATTGTGATGTGGTGGTGGTGATGGTGGTGGTGGTGGTGATATTGGTGATAATAGTGGTGATATTGGTGATGATAGTGGTGATGGTGGTGGTGGTGGTGACATTGGTGGTGATGGTGGTGATTGTAACGATGGTGGTGATGGTGGTGGTGGTGATAGTGATGATGGTGGTATTGTGATGTGGTGGTGGTGGTGGTGATGGTGGTGGTGGTGGTGATAGTGATGATGGTGGTATTGTGATGTGGTGGTGGTGATGGTGGTGGTGGTGGTGATATTGGTGATAATAGTGGTGATATTGGTGATGATAGTGGTGACGGTGGTGTGGTGGTGGTGATGACAGTGGTGGTGATGGTGGTGACTGTAACAATGGTGGTAATGGTGGTGGTGATAGTGATGATGTATTGTAATGTGGTGGTGATGGTATTGTGGTGGTAGTGGTGATGATAGTGGTGATGATAGTGATGGTGCTAATGGTGCTAATAGTTACGGTGGTGGTGGTGGTGAAGGTAGTGTTGTGGTGATGGTGATGATGGTGATGACAGTGTTGTCATAGTGGTGGTAGAGATGGTGATGGTAGTGGTGATAGTAGTGATGGTGATGGTGATGGGCAATGGTGACGGTTGTAGTGGTGTTTGTGGCAGTGGTGGTGGTGCTAGCAGTTATGATGTTGGTGGTGGCAGTGGTTGTGGTGAAGGTGGTATTGTGGTGGTGATAGTCATGATGGTGCAGGTGGAGGTAGTGGTGGTGTGCATCCACATATTAGTTACACTACGTCCCTTGGAATGAGACCAGCATGCCTAATCCCCATTACAGAGGACACTAATAGACAACTACATAGAGTGTCAAGTTACACAGACAGAATCCAGAGCCTTTCAAGCAGATCTTCTCTCTCAAATATTATATCCTTTCCCTACCTCTCCTGCCTTCTTCCCTCAAACTCTTGGTCTTTGAATTACCACATTCAATTTTGTATTTCAGTTTTTATGAAACTCAGCACATGTTTTCAAAGCCAGTTGTGGCTAACTTGACTCAGGCTTGACTATTTCCCAATCTGGAGAGAAAGAAGATAAATGGCACTATCACATAAAAGACTGTTTTCCAGGAGTTACGTGTCACTTTCCCCTGCAAAGGAGCAGGCGTGGTCTTTTGGGAGAATGTTTGACATCAAACACATCTGTTTGAAGTTATTTTGAACACAGAGGTTCCAAACCCTAAGTAAAATGGAAAAACTATTTTGTGTGGTTTTCAAAGCAAGTAAAGTGGCCAAAAGCACTTATGTTTCTTAAGCCCCAGAACAACCACTAGGGCCCTCAATCTTTCATTGAGTCTTTTCCAAATCAGTTACTTCTGGAATTTGGTCTCTTTAGTCTTCCTCAGCTTTTCTCTCGGTGTAGTTGGAGGTCTATAAAGTCATCCCAAACCTCTGCACCCAACTAAACTTATTGGTAAGTCCATGCCTCCTAATTTGTTTTTTAAGTTGCATTTTAGGCCTTTAGGCTCAAAGAAAAAATACCTGGAAAGCAGGTAAGTCTCAGAAATTCATTAAGCAGCCTAAAAAAAAGCAATTCAAATGAGCTTCATTTCTGAGCTGAGGTTGTCATTAACCAATGTTAATTCTTAAAAAAAATATAAATTCCAATAGTTCAGAGTGTATGTTTATTGAAGTTCAAGGATCAAATGCTTAAAAGAGACTTTGAACTACAACTGGTTATCCTGTTCCATTTTTAGGAAAGACAAAAAAAAAAAACAAAAAACAGAAGAAAATTAGCTAATGTTGGGGATTTTGTGAAAGGAATTTGCAAGAAAATAAAAAAAGAATCTTTCAGGGACTTTTCTGAAGTCTGTACATGATAAGCCCAATCCCTTGTGCCTTCTGTTCCTCCCTTATCGGTGCTTTAACAAGAGAGCTGCTGCTCCAAACAGGAATCACTGAGGTCTCACAAAACCTTCAACTGCGAAAAGCAATGTCTATTACTATGTAGCAAATCCATCTTCACTCATTCATTTAATAAATGACTATTGAACGCCTACTGTGTTCTAGGGCTAGGGTTGGGATAGAATGGCCCTTTTCTTCATGGGGCTGGGTCCCAGGGAGGTTCTGGTAGGCTCTTTCTTCTGCCTTGAGGTCGGTCCTGAGCTGCTTACTGGGCAGCTCCACCTGGTACTGCAAACTCAGCCTGCTGAAAGCTGGAATCATTACCTCCTACATGTGCCTCTGCCTTTGTCTTGGATGTAACAGGAACTCATTAGAAGTAGCTTCAGAAAAATATGGGCTACCACAAGGATACAGAGGGAGCCCCGCAGAACCCAAGGACAAGAAGTATAGTCACGCCCCATAAGGGATGAGAAGCAGGAAATGGAAATCCTCTACAACCAGGGCAGTCAGCTCTCCCACACCAATCTCTGGCATCCCATAGTTTTTGTCCCTGCTTCTCTTTATTTCTCTGTGGCCCAGTCTCTCTCTCTCTGTGTCTGTACTAGTTTGCCAGGGCGGCCATAGCAAAATACCACAGGCTAGGGGGCTTATATTTTTTCATAGTCCTGGAGGCTGGAAGTCCAAGATCAAGGTGTGGGCAGGGGTGAATTCTCTGAGGCCTCCCTCCTTGGCTTACAGATGGCCACCTCCTTGCTGTGTCCTCATATGCCATGTCCATCTCTGGTATATCTCTGGTATGTCCCTTCTTTTTTTTTTTTTTTTTTTTTTTTTTTTGAGACAGGGTCTCACTCTGTCACCCAGGCTGAAGTGCCATGGTGCAATCTCAGCTCACTGCAACCTCTGCCTCCTGGGCCCAGGTGATCCTCCCACCTCAGCCTCCCAAGTAGCTGGGACCACAGGCATGCACCACCACACCCAGCTGATTTTTTTCTATTTTTTTGTAGAGATGGGATTTCACCACATTGCCCAGGCTGGTCTCAAACTTCTGGACTCAAGCAATCCTCCTGCCTCAGCCTCCCAAAATCCTGGGATTACAGGAGTGAGCCACCTCACCCGGCCAGTATCTCTCTTCCTTTAGACACACAGCTCTGTTAGGTCAAGGCCCCACCCTTATGACTGGGTTCAACTTTAATTATCTCTTTAAAGACCCTATCTCCACATACAGACACATTGGAGATTAAGACTTCTACATGCGAATTTGAGTGAAACAAAATTCAGTCCCTAATCGTGTCTCAGTTTGTCTCTGACTCTCTCTGTGTGTCTGTCTGTCTCTCTCTGGGCCATTTTTCTGTGCTTCTCAATGCAGAGGGCAAAAGACAGCTTCTACTCAGTTCCCAAAATTTGTGTCCTCCCAGTTCAAGCTCTGACTAAGACTTAGTGACTCCAGTTTCAATTCCAAATTCTTAGGAGAGTAATCATACTGGCATAGTCCAGCCCTGGAGCTATGGAGCACTGCTCAGCTATGTGACCTTAATCAGAAGGGTCACAGCCTGGTACAAACACAGCCACAGGGGTCTATCCACATGGCTAGGGCATGAGAGTGCTGAGGAGTGGCTTTATAGAAAAACCACCCAAATTCTTTGATACAGAAGAGCTTTGGAAACATCACAGCAGCCTACCTTCCCAGCCTCCCTCTGCATTCCCTGACCTGATGCTAATCTTCTGGCCACTCTGAGAAAAGTCACATGCTCCCATCACTCCTAACATGGTCCCACTCACCCATCTTCTGAGCCCCTGGTGAGCACAGAGAATGTGAGAAGCTGAGCCAAATCAAAGTCCTTTAGCAAGGATTGAAAGGAGGACCAGCTTTTGTGCAGGACCCAACAATGTCTGTGACTCTGTGTGATATACCATTAAATATTACTGCAGCCTGAAACTGCTCAGAAATGTTATCTTTAAATCATTTTACGCAATTGCATGGATTGGTGTGCGACAAGGCCTTGAAAAGCTGATGTGTGCATTAATAGGAGTTTTCATCAGGTGGATGTTAGAAGTTGGGGAGGGGTATTCCAGGCCCATGGGACAGTACGTGCAAAGGTACAGAGACTTAAAACAGAAAAGCACATTCAAGGAAAATTTCAAACACTATAAGTAAACATGCATGCCTGGGGTAAAGAATTCAAGTGGAGAGCAGAGGTGGAAGCGGCCAGAGACGTAGGCAGGGCTAAATCCCAAAAGCCTTTGGGCACTCTCCTAAGCAATTGAGACTTCATCCTCTGGGCATAAGAGTGTCATGTAGGATGAGCATTTTAGAAAAATGACACTGGTTGTGCTGTGGAAGAGAAGCATGTCTGGAGGCTGGACGATGAGTGAGGAAGGTCGGAGGTAAGAGGATGAGGAATGCAGGTAGAGGAACAGACAGATTTGAGGGCTGTCTAGTAGATGGAAGTGACAGAACTTGATGCTGGCTGAAACAGAATGACCTGTAGCTGTCTGACATGGGAAGCAGATGTTTTTACAAAAGGAGAAGTGAGATTTTGTTTTAACCTATTTTTATTCTAATAAATTGGACTAAAAGCACTGGTTTGAGCCTGTGCTCCAGTGAAAGATTTCATCATGACTGGTAGAGTTGGCCTTAACATCACTGGACTCGACACAAAACTCTTGAAAAAACTGTGAAGTTTAACTCTCAATGTCGCCAATGTCACCTTCCTGTTTTGTGCTATTCTTACCGTGAGGAGGCACCTATACAATCAGCCAATTACTATTTTTTGAGCATTTACTGTGTTCCCACATCTTACAGTATGGCACTTAACACACAAAATGAAGTCTCTCGGGTTGGGAATTGTGGTAGAACATCTGCAAAGACGGTAGCCAAAAGGTCCCCCTGTCTCTGAATGCACATACATGTCTCCCATCAAGAGGCGGAGCCTATTTTCCCCTTCTGAGATTATGGCATTATGACTCATTATGACCAAGAGAATGCAGTAGCCATGACAGGTGAGAGTGCTAGGGCCTAGACCTTAAGAGGCACTGCAGCTTCCATGCTTGCTGTCTTGAAGTCCTGAGCTATCATATTAAGAAGTTCGAGGGCCGGATGCAGTAGCTCACTCCTGTAATCCCAGCACTTTGGAAGGCTGAGGTGGGCAGATCACCTGAGGTCAGGAGTTTGAGACCAGTCTGGCCAACATGGTGAAACCTCGTCTCCACTAAAAATACAAAACTTAACTGGGCATGGTGGCACATGCCTGTAATCCCAGCTACTCGGGAGGCTGAGGCAGGAGAATCGCTTGAACCCAGGAGGCAGAGGATGCAGTGAGCCAAGATCATGCCACTGCACTCCAGCCTGGGCGACAGAGTGATACCCTATCAAAAAGAAAGAAAGAAAGAGAGAGAGAGAAGAAAGGAAGGAAGGAGAGAGAGAGGGAGGGAGGGAGGGAAAGGAAGGAAGGAAGGAAGAAAGAAAGAAAGAAAGAGAGAAAGAAAGAAAGAAAGAAAGAAAGAAAGAAAGAAAGAAAGAAAGAAAGAAAGAAAGAAAAAAGAAAAGAAAAGAGAAAAGAAAAGAAAAGAAAAGAAAAGAAAAGAAAAGAAAAGAAAAGAAAAGAAAAGAGTCCATAAGTAACCTGTAAATAGATTCACAGTTCCAGAAAGTGGGCCAGGGAGCATGAACAAATGTGTCTCATCAAACTGAGCCTCTGCCCCATTTCAAAGCTTCGCATAAAGCTGCAGTGATCCAGGCAGCATGGAATCGATGTGGGGATTCACGTGGATCAACAGAACAGAATACAAAAGCAAGAAATATACCTTTATGTTTCCAGACAATGTTGCCAGAGTAACTCGATGATGAAAGGGTAGCTTTTCAGCAAATGGTGCTGGGACAATTAGATATCCACACGCAACAACAACAACAACAAAAAACTTATACTCTCACCTCACACCATACACAAAAACACCCAAAATGGAGCATCAACTTAAATATGAAAGTTAAAACTACAAAACGCCTAGACGAAAACATAGGAGGAAATCTTTGTGAAGTTTAGTTGGACAATGATTACTTAGAATGACACCAAAAATATAATCAAAAAGTTTTTGATAACTTGAACTTTATGAAAATTAATAATTTTGCTCTTCAAAAGACACTATTAAAAAAATGAAAAGACAATCTACAGACTGGGGGGAAAATTCTGCACATCATACATCTAATTAAAGGGTGTCTATCCAGAGTATATTAAGAACTCCTACAGCTTAATAACAAGAAAACAAAGAACCCAATTATTTTGTTATAAAATTTGCAACATATAATTGTATATATTAATGGGGCAAAAAATGATGTTATGATTTATGAATACAGTGTGGATTGATTAAATCAAGCTAACTAACATATCCATCACCTCAAATACTTACCATTTTTTGTAATGAGAACTTCTGAAATTGACTCTAAGCATTTTTTTTTTTTTGAGATGGAGTCTTACTCTGTCACTCAGGATGGAGTGCAATGGCTCAATCCCAGCTCACTGCAACCTCCACCTCCCAGGTTCAAGCAATTCTCCTGCCTCAGCCTCCCGAGTAGCTGGGATTACAGGCATGCACCACCACGCCCAGCTAATTTTTTTTTGTATTTTTATTAGAGATGGGGTTCCACCATGTTGGACAGGCTGGTCTCGAAGACCTCAAGTCATCCACCCTCCTCGGTCTCCCAAAGTGCTGCAATTACAGGTGTGAGCCACTGCACCCAGCTGACTCTTAGCAATTTTTAAATGTACACTATACTATTACTATCATTATTAACTATTAACACTATTATTAACTAATATTATTATTAACAATACTCACCATGCTGTGCAACAGATCTCAGAAAAAACCCTTACTCCTCCTAAGATTGTATATCCTTTGACCATGATTTCCCCATTCCCCTCCTAATCCAATTTTTAAAGGGATGAATTATTTCAATTGGCGTTTCACCAGAGAAGAAATGTGAATGGCTAATAAACCCACGAGAAGCACTGCAAGCCCACTTGAACGGCTCTAGCCGGAAAAGGAGCGCCAATCCAATGACCCATGCTCTAACCCAGATGAGCCTCAGAAACATTAAGTTAAGGGAGAAAAGCCAGACAGAAAAGACTACATATTCTGTGATTCTATTTATATAAAATGTCCAGAAATGACAAATCTGCAGAGTCAGAAAGATTAACAGATGCCCGGGACTCGGGTAGAAGCAAGGACTGCAAATGAGCACAAGAGAAATTTCTGGAGTGATGAAGACATCCTAAAACTGGATTTCAGTGACAGCTCCACAACTTTATAAATTGGCTAAAAAAAAAAAAATCATTGAATTGTACACTTGTACAGACAGTCCTTGACTTACAATGGTTCACTTTATGATTTTTTGACTTGAGGAAGGCTCAAAGGCAATCCACATTCAGTAGGAATCATATTTTGCATACCTATACAACACTTCTGTTTTTCAGTTTTGGCACAGTATTCAATAAGTTACATGAGATATTCAACACTTCATAATAAAAATAGGCTATGTGTTGAATGATTTTGCCCAATGATAGGTTAATGTAAGTGTTCTGAGTATGTTTAAGGTAGGCTGGGCTGAGCTGTGATATTCTGTAGGTTCGGTATATTGAATGCATTTTCAACTTAATGATATGTTCAACTTACAATGGACTATGTAATGTCTATCAGGACATAGCCCCATTATAAATTGAGGATCATCCGTAATGAGTGGATTTTTATGGTGAGTTATTCTTCAATAAAGCTGTTTTTTAAAAACAGGGAAAATGAATGATGAGGAAAAACTTATGAGCCATGAGTGCTGACTAATGAGTCAGCTCCTGTGAACAGCGTACTGTGAAGCATTAAGCTAGGTATGAATCACAGCAGTGACGATGAGGATGCAGGGCGTGGTGTTTACAGAAAATAAGACAAGGAACGGAGTAACTTAAGGTGACCTTGACAGCTGGAGGAATTTGGGTTTGATATAAAGGACACAAAAAGCTTTCAAAAAGTTTTAATGGTTGTTAAATTCTACAAAGTTTAAAAAACTAGTGCCTATTCTGGAAAAGGGAAAGCTATGAAGACAGAAAAAAGATCAGTGGTTGCCAGGATCAAGGGGAGGGCGGGATGAACAGGCAGATCACCAAGTATTTGTGTGGCAGTGAGACTACTCTGCAAGATGCTACACATCATACGTGTGTCCAACTTACCGATGTCTAACAAGAGTGAACCCCAACATAAACTCTGAACTCTGGGTGTGAACAGTGTTTCAATGTAGGGTCACCCGATTGTAACAGATGTACCGCTGTCCTGGGGGATGTCTATAGTGAGGGAGGCTGTGCGTGTGTGGGAACAGGCAGTGTATGGGAACTTTCTATGCCTGCCACTCAATTGTGTTGTGAACCTAAAACTGCCCTAAAAAAAATAAGGTTTATTTAAAAAATAAAATATAGGTGAAATAAATACCTAAATCTCACTGTTGTCATCCTGCTCCTGAATGGTAGTCACCAGAATTATGTGAGGTCATTGTCATGTTCTCACTTGCAGAAGCAGACAGTCTTTGTGGTTATTATCTGGGATTAGTCTTCACTCTGACTTCCTCACCTACTGCACACAGCATCAACCTAGTCCATGGGTGCACAGGGAAATCCCAAGCCTGTAGATGGTCTTGAGAACTCAAGAAGTGTCTAGGCCTACAAATAGCCCACCATTAATACGTCTCCCCATAGGCCTGCCCAGAATCCTTCCTTGCTCCCAGATCAGACCCTTGGTTCTCACAGATAGTGAGCTGGACTGGCCGAAGCCAGAAAAATACAGCCATTTTGGAGCCACGGTATTGAGACAGCTATCGACAAGGAAAAGTTAAATTACTCTACTTAGCTTGCTTGTTTGTTTATGAAATTACTGTGTAAAAATATGCATTCTTGAGAACAGAATTTATGTTTTGTTCTCCCAGCATTTTTATAAAATCTCCACTGCAAGCAGGTCAGCAAGACTGTGGGGAGGTTTGCATCACAAAGCCGCACGGGGTCACCCCAAGCCCATTTCTCACCTATCTTTGTGAAGGCCTACTCCAGAGACCCCTTTATTACAGGGCTGGCCTGGGACAAAGGAGGGAAGCACTTGGAAAGCTCTGTCCTTAGGGTCAGTGGCTATGCCACACCCACCAGCCAATGGGCCCATCAGGAGGGAAGACAGTGCAGGGATTCCAAGCTGTCTCTCATCTGGCTGCTGGTTCGTGGTTTATCTTCCAGTGCAGGCATAGATTTTAATTAAAGTAAAAGCTAAGTTTGTTGTGAGCTAGCCAAAGCATGTTGATGAGCTGCATTCAGTGCTGGAGTCGGGTGTGTGACCTCTGGCCTGGACTTGTTGAGGAGATTGTGTGCTGTGTTCTGGGAGGGCAGGGGAGAGAGGACAAGGGGCCCAGCACTGAGAAGGGGCCAGGGACTGTGAGGTCCTCCCCATGCCGGTGTTCTGGGATGATGGCAGGCACTCAGGGGCAGGTGAATGACACGTCTGAGGAGGCCAGGCCTTGAGCACTGTCTCTCAGCCCCTGGAGAGGTGACCATGCTTTGGCAGCAATAGAATTCATGTCCACTGAGAGTAGGACCTCAAGTGGTGACCAGAATGGCCTCCCGGGTGCTTTGGGACTCAGATCCAGTCCCCTTTGCCAAATACTTGGCATACCAATTAGGACGGTTATTATCCAAACAAAAACATAAAACACAATATAACAAGTGTGGTGAAGACGTGGGTATTGGAACCCTTGTGCAGGGCCAGTGAGAATGTAAAATGCTGCCGCCACTGTGGAAAACAGTATGGCAGTTCCTGAAAAAGTTACACTTAGAATGACCATACAACCCAGCAATTCTTCTCCAGATATATACACGGAAGGATGGAAAGCAAGAACTCGAACAGATATTTGCACACCCATGTCCATAGCAGCATATTCAACAGATGATGGACACACAAACATGATTAATCCCTACAATGGAATGTTACTCCGCTGTGAAAAGAAAGGGAGTTCTGACACACGCTACGTGAATGAACCTGGATGGCATGTGCTCAGGGAAATAAGCCAGTCACAGGTGGACAAATAATGTGTGGTTCCACTTAGGTGAGGTACCTAAAGTAGTCAAAGTCGTAGAAAGTAGAATGGGTATTGCCAGGGGCTGGGGAAGCAGAGAGTGGGGAGTTAGAGTTAGATGGGTACAGAGTTTCAGTTCAGGAAGATGAAATCGTTCTGGAGGTGGATGGTGGTGGTGGCTGCACAACATTATGGACGTACACTTAAAAGCGGTGAAAATGGTAAACTTAATTTTATAGATACTTTACCACAATGTAAGAAATAAAAAATATAAAAATGAAAACACATTGCTCACAGCCCCAAGAATGACTGAGATGGATTTTCCACCAGCTCAGCAGGGGAAGGGCTGAGTTAGACTTGATTTGATTTGAAAGGAAGAGAGAAGAGCAGCCTTTCCTGTCTGAGTTTGCACGGTCAGGTTCACACCTGTTACAAACCCAAGGCCCCAGTAGCCATGCTGGACGCTGCACCCTGATATGGTTTGGATTCGGGTCCCCGCCCACATCTCCTATCAAATTGTAATCCTCGGTGTTGGGGGAGGGGCCCGATGGGAGGCGATTGGATCACGCGGGCGAACTTCCCCTTTGCTGTTCTCGTGATAGTGAGTTCTCACCAGATCTGGTTGTTTAAAAGTGTGGGCTGGGCATGGTGGCTCATGTCTGTAATCCCAGCACTTTGGGAGGCCGAGGCGGGCAGATCACCTGAGGTCAGGAGTTCAAGACCAGCCTGGCCAACATAGTGACACCCCGTCTCTACTAAAATTACAAAAATTAGCCAGGCGTGTTGGCACGCACCTGTAATCCCAGCTACTCAGGAGGCTGAGGCACGAGAATCCCTTGAATCCAGAAGGCGGAGGTTGCAGTGAACCGAGATCTCACCACTGTCCTCCAGCCTGGGCGACAGCCAGACTCTGTCTTGGGGGAAGAAAAAAAGCGTGTGGCACGTCCCCCTTCACTCTCTTCCTACTGCCCCAGCCTTGTGGGACGTGCTGGCTCCCCGTTCACCTTCCGCCACAATTGGAAGTTTCCCGAGCCCTCCCCAGCCATGCTTGCTGTACGGCCTACAGAACCATGAGCCAATTAAACCTCTTTCTTTATAAATTACCCAGTCTTGCGTAGTCCTTTACAGCAAGGCGAGAACGGACTCACACACCGTTTTCAGCACTCCCTTGCCCCATGCCTGAGCCCCTCTCATCCTTACTCCCCAGGGTTGGGGCTGGGTGGGAGGGAGGCAGGCAGGGAGAGAGGATATCTTTTTCATTCATTACATTAGAATAACTTCTTTTCCATGCTGAAAGCTTAATGATTTGTTTTCTAGGTCACCTCAAAATGTCCCCAAGCCATCGCTGGAACTACCCGATGAAGTCATTCTTCCTTACAAAGTAGATTCCGTTGCTAGGGCTGCCATAACCAAATGCCGCAGCCTGGGTGGCTTCAACAGAATTTCATTTCCCCACAGTCCTGGGAGCTGGAAGCCCAAGGTCCAGGTGTGAGCAGGGCTGGTTTCCCCTGAGGCCTCTCTCCTTCGCCTGCAGGTGGCTTCTTCTCCCTGTGTCTTCACAGGGCTATCCCTTTGTGTCTGTGTCCTCATCTGCTCCTCTAATAAAGACACCAGTCATACTGGGTTAGGGCCCACCCTAATGACCTCATCTAACCTTATTTATTACCTCTTTAAAGGCGCTATCTTCCAATTCAGCCATTCGGAGGTCTTGGCGGTTGAAACTTCAAGACAGGAATTTGGAGTGAGGACACAGTTCATTCCATACACAAAGACAGGAGCGGCTTCATCCAGAACCCGGAAGGTCTGTCCCTCTACAGAAACCCAGATCTAATCGTGTCGCATCCCACACCAGGTAGGTCTTTCTCAGTTCTTTCTCTGCTCCCCTGTTTGGGCACTGAAGGAAGTTTGCAAAGCGTGTCTGGCCGAACGTTCTCATTGCTTGACGGACTTCATCCCAATAGAAGGACCTCTTCCAAGCTGATGGCTTATTCAAAGCAAAACTCTAGTTTTCCCAATGAGATTTTTACGGTCGGGTGTAAGGCTGATCTTATCAAAAGGCTCTGTCAGCACACAGTCTCTGGATTTACATAGGGGCCTCTCGAGAAAGCCACATGGCGTCAAGACAAGGCTGGACTGTAGCCTCTCTTTTGGTAACCAGATTGACATATAATACCCTTCCCAGTCTTGTTTTTCAACTTAAATTATATATTCCCCAAGTCCCTGGCTGAATAAATAAACTGAATCAGGGGTGGGGTGTCCAACTTTGAATAACACCACTCTGGTCTGTGAAACTCTAGATGCCTTTGTCTGGGACCTAGACCCATTGTTCTTGCTTGGCAATAATGGTTTGATTCTCACATTAAATGCATTAGTTTGATAAAGGGCCAAGAAGTGCACACTCATGAATCTGAAATGACCCCTTTCCTTACCAAGGCCCTGGCATGGACAGCTATCTGCAGGAGATGAAAGGGGCCCAGCTTCTATTTTTGTGGTCTCCCCAAGGAGCAAACTTTTTATGTCTACTTTGATGTAGACATAAAAAGGCATTTCTATACCAGCAATCCTTTAGCATGAGCATTTAGCATGAACATTTTGTATCTGCCCAGGAATTTCCAAACTTTGATGCCATTACAGTCTGAGAGAGCATGACTGACGCAAGTGAGCCGGGAGCACAGGCAGGAGCACAGAGCCCAGCTGCCTCCCGCACCCCCTCCACCCACCCCATCTACAGCTCATTGCATTAGCAGCCGCCTCTCGCCCCTCTACCCACGCCATCTAGAGCCCACTGCGTCAGCCCAGAGGATATGTCATTTGGCAGCAAAGCCTCATCACAGATAGAACCAGCTCCTCAGGCACCCTCATTCCTGGAGAGGCACTTGACGGGGCAGAGCCTGAAGCAGAGTTTCCAGGAAGACAAGAAGGCCAACTTCCCTAGGAACTGCAGATGGAGGTCCCGCTCATGTGTTTCTGCGAATTAAGGTGGGGCCTTGGTGAAAGAGCAGAAGAGCTCCCCAAGCTGCCTGGGCCCAGGGCTCAGGCTGAGTAAGGGCTGCGTGCACGAGCTCCACCAGATCTCAAAAATGCGCAGTCACCATGTCCTCGTTGGGCCCGTCTTAGCCTGCCCCAGCTTGGGGCAGAAAGGGGCAGAGGGTGGTACAGTGCAGGGGAGCTGGTAAAGACTGGACAGGGAACTGCAAACCCCGCCCTTCCAGGGCCTTCCAGCCAAGTCTCAGTTTCTTTTAGGCTCCTCTCTTCCTTAGGATTAGCCTCCGCCCTCACTCACAGGCCGACCGAGGCTAATCCTCTGCCATTTCTATATGTGGACCCTGGGCAATATCCACTATACAGTGCTTTACTTTATCTACAAAATGGGGCTCATTGCCCCTTCCTTGGGTTGTTGGATGGGTCCTATGAGTGATCAAAGAGCCCAGGGCATGGGATTATTATTACTGTACTTTCTGGGACTGCAGGGTCTCCCCTCACACCATCAGCTTATCAGAGAAGAACCAAAGCCTGGCTGTCCCCAAATGGCCTATGGAGCCAGGCCAGCATGTGGGCCCTCCCTGGTGGTCACACCTCACCATCCAGCACTCAGGGGCCTCTCGTCTCTTCCCACTAACAGAAAGAAATGTTGTGCGGCCACCGGCCTCTGTCTGAGCACAGGAGACACCAAATGGGAGGGTTCTGGCAAACGGAGTGGGAACTTGGCCCCCTTCTCACACCGTGCTCCTATCCTCTGGAATGCAGGGAGGGAGGCTGCGTTCTGCATGTGGCGTCTCTGAAACTAAATGCTCCTTATTTTATGCATACCCAGCCAAAGCCAACAGGACACTCACCCACCAAAGACGGGCCTTCCCATTTATACACGAAGGCCAGGTTTCCCAAAGTCATGCTCAGGGGACCCTAGGAAAAAAGTTTCATCTTGAATTGGCTCTAATCTTACTGAGGAGATGAATAATAAATAATGATAATAATAATAATAAACATATATTTATAATATGTGTATTATATATTACATAACATATATTTATATAATATAAATATAATTATTATTAATTTATTAATTTTATTAATTATTAATTAATACATTAATTTTTTTAGAGATGGGATCTCACTATGTTGCCCAGGCTAGAGTGCATTGGCTATTCACAGACGATCATGATGCAATCATAGTGCACCACATCCTCAAACTCCTGGACTCAAGTGATCCTCCCTCCACAGCCTCCCAAGTAGCTGAGACTGCAGGCACACGCCACTGCACCCAGCCCTGGACTATTAACTTTTATATTTTTTATATCCATAGAGTCAGGCAGCTTCTGATGCATAGTAACCATGTAATAAATGTTGAATGAATAAATGTGAATGACCATACCCATACATAGACATATGCATTCATATAAATCTCAGCTTCTCATCTCATTCTCCCAAGCAATGCTAACAGCCTTGACAGCTTTTGACAAACTGATTCACAACAAAGCCTTGATTTTCCCATCCATGAAGTGGGGCTAAAATATGCCTAAATCTACGGATTGCCTTTAGAATTCAGTCTCCTTCAAAATTTCAAACTAAGGGTCTCACCCCCATTAGCGCATCACGAAGTCAATTTAGTGAACTGTGACCAACATTTTTTAAAAATGAGGTAGAAAATAAAAGGACCTACCAGAAAATATGATTGGAAATATCCAATCAGAGTGGAAATATCAGAGTCGATCATGGGGAGGAAGGTAAAGTAGGTCACTATTTCGTGAAGCTTTTGCTTTGGTTACGTATGTGGGTATGTGCTGGGTTGGAAATGTCAATTGCAGTAAAAAAAAAAAAAAAAAAAAAAAAAAGGCTTGGAAGTCACAGCCCCCTAGTAGAGTGTCCACGGCCAGGTCTGAGGATGGGACACGGTGCCGTGCCTTGCTTTGTGGAGCCTGGCTACACCCTGGGTTGGCAGAAGTGTTTTTCCCAGATCTGTGGAGTGGCTGCTGCTGTGCTGCAGCCCCTCTGGGATGTGTTTACTTTTTCACAATGCAAAGCTTTCACCTAGAAAATAAGCCCTGAGTGAAAAATCCAGACTCATGTAAGTCTGACATTTATTATTTGAAGGTAAAGAAACTACAATTAGGACTAAATTGGTCTCTTCTCAGGGGATGCATAAACACATCCCCCAGAACCTTTTTTAAAACATTGCAGACAGGGCCTGTAGTTCCCGTGTGAACGTCTTGGATCCAAAGGCTTATCTTTGAAGGAGAAAAGTTGAGGCTTGGAATTATAGAATCCTGAGCCCTTGGAGTAAGAAAGGTCCTTTGGAGTCACTGACCAGCCCCGGGCACAAGTCCCCTTTGCCAGGTCACTCCCTGAGCTAGGGATTTCTGCTTTCTGCCGGTACAAAACCCTGCTTCTGTCACTTTCAATTATTGATCCTAAAAGCCAAAGAGAAAAGAACTCTGCTCCCATGTAAAGTCCCTCAATCAACTTATCCTAAAGAGTTATTGACTTTTTTTTTTTCCTCCTTTGAGACAAGGTCTTGCTGTCACCCAGGCTGGAGCGCAGTGATGTTGTCATGTCATGACTCACTGCAGCCTGGGACTCGAGTTTAAGCGATCCTCCCTCCTCAGCCTCCTGAGTAGCCGAGACTACAGGTGCATGTCTCCATGCCCGGCTAATTTTTTTTTTCTTTTGCAGAGACCAGGTCTCACTCTGTTGTCCAGGCTGGTCTGGAACTCCTGGGATCAAACCACCCTCCTGCCTCAGCCCCCCAAGGTGCAGGAATTACAGGGTCACACCATGCCCACTGAGTTAAGACTTTTTGATAGCCAAGTGATTGTACAAGCCTCTGAGCTCAACCCCACTTGAATCATCTTGAAAGACTTGATCATAATTCAAGTTCTTCTTTGGCACATTTTTATCATTGGCTATGGATTTACATAAAACACAATGAGTCACAGAGTGGAGAGAGCTATTAGATTGGCAGTCCCCAACATTTTTGGCACCAGGGACCAGTTTCGTAGAAGATGATTTTTCCACAGATGGTGGGGTGGGGGGTGGTTTTGGGATAAAATCGTTCCACCACAGATGATCAGGCATTTCTTAGATTCTCATAAGGTATGTGCAACCTATGTTCCTCACACGCAGTTCACAGTAGGGTTTGTGCTCCTGGGAAAATCTAACGCCACCGCTGGTGTGACAGGAGGAGAAGCTCAGGCAGGACTGGTCGATCACCCGTCACTCACCTCCTGCTGTGTGGCCCGATTCCCAACAGGCCACAGACTGGTAGCAGACTGGTACCAGTCTGTGGCCTGGAGGTTAGGGACCCTTACATGACATGAATGTAAGGAAACCAAATACCCACAAAGAGAAACCTGACCGGTGCTACCCACATCCAGTGTCACTCTCCCTTATGAAGAACTGAACTTCCAAGGTCTAAGCAGAGAAGGGCTTCAACAAGACAGTGTGTCTCCAGGTGGACAGAGGAGCTGGTGACATGGCCCCAGACTATGTGTGTCCTCCTTCCCTGTGGGGGTCCGTGCTGACTTCTGCTGTGGAAACTTCCTCTTGTCTCCACACCCGTGTCACTGCTCCATCAGAGCCCCCTTAAGCATGCTCAACACATTTTATCCGCGGATGCTCTGGGCACTCAGGAGCGTACTGAAATTTGCAGCAAGAGGATCACCCCCACTGTGCAAGAATCAAAAAGGGAATAGGCTTGAGGCATTGCTTTTGACGCCATGGACTCTTAGGGCTCTCAGTCCTGCCTGGGCCCCGGCTCTCGTTCTCTCCAACATGACGCCATCTGCTCAAGCCCTTCTGGAATCCTGTGCTAGAAGAGCACTTCACTTTATAGCCAAAGGTTCCATCTGGGCTTCCGGGTTTCCATCCTGGCCTGAACCACTTCTCCATTACTCACTAGCTGGATCTACCCTGCAACAAACCTCAGCTCCCTCTCCTACCAGCCAACAGGATCTGGATCTTATCACATGAAGTCCCCCTCGACCCAACCGCACTGTGATCCAGTAGCCTCATTGCTCCTTTTTCCACCCCACCGTCACCCCCCACCCCCAACAGAAAGTGAAAGAGTGCCTTCTCCAGACTTAAGGGACTCACACCTGAGTTCCTGTGCCCACTCTGGTGGGCTCCATTAGGCACTCGTTATTTTTCTAAGTAGAGATGAATAAGTAAACACCACAGTGAATAGTCACATCCTCCCTTACTCAGAGACCAAACTCCCAGGCACTGAGGTGTCCCTAGAGACCTGCTCCAGTGTCCCCACATCCCTATCCCCATCAGCCTAACAGTCGCTTGTTCATTCATCACTGACACTTGTTCTGGGACTCTCATCTGTCCCCTGTCCTGTGCCCCACAGCTCCAGACATTCTGATGGTGGTTATGAGAATGGTTGTCATCGTTCTCACATGGGAAGCCCCACTTCTACCTCCAAAAGCATATCGGGGCCCAGGCACATGAGTCAGCAGATCCAGAGAGAAGCAGACAGCAGAAGCTGCCCCAAATCCAGTTCTAGTCATTCAACCACAAATGCAGAGCAAAATGCATCCCTCCTCAGACCCTCTCAGACACCGCACCCTTGACTTCCCAGGAGATATTTGATACACTTAGATAGCATTTGAACAAGACTTTACTGGTGCACATCCATTCCTACAATCTTAGCACTGGAAACATCTCTGAGATCCTTTGATCTCTCTTATCGTTTTTACAGGGTAGAAGCTAAAGCCCAAGGGATTTGTCCAAATCCAGTCAGCTTGTTACTGAAATGACAGGGGCTGGTATACACCGAATGCCAACATGCCCCACATGATCTCCCCAAGGTGCCACATAGGGCAGTTGGACACTAAGGTCTTTGCCTTTCTTCCTACTGAGAGGTGGGGACAATTCCCTGCACCTTTTAAAGCTGAGTGGGCTCTTGGCTCCTCTGACTAGTAGAGTATGGTGGTGGAAATGATGCTGCATTCTACTGTGAGGTCACAAATAGCCCTACAGTTGCTCTTTGGAACCCTCGCTCTTAGATCCCCGAGCCACCGTATAAGAAGTCCAGCTACCCTGAGGCCGTGGACTGCAGCTGCACTCCAGTCTTTAAGCCCAGCTGTGCTCGGGTGTCTCACTTTCTACACCCCACCCTCAGCATCAGATATGTGAGTCTCAGACCACCCAGACTGGCCAGTCTGCCCACTGAATACCACCAAGTGATGCCAGGCAATTCCACACAGAGAATAAGAACCGCCTGGCTGAGCCCTGCCTGAAATCCTGACCCACAAAGTCATGAACTATATGTATATATATGACTGTTATTTTAAACCACTAGGTTTTGGAATAATTTCTTGTGCAGCAATGAAAAGCTAGAACACTGCCTGACCTCCTATACTGGTTTGCTAGGGCTGCCATAACAAAATATTGCAGACAGGATGGTTAAACAGAATTTTATTTCTCACCATTCTTGGGCTGGAAGTCCAAGATTTAGGTGTCTATGGAGTTGGTTTCTCCTGAGGTCTCTCTTTGGCTTGTAAGTGGTGTCTTCTCCCTGTGTCCTCACATCACCTCCCCTGTGTGTGTGTCTGTATCCTCATCTCCTCTTCTAATAATGACACCAGTCAGGTGGGATTAGGGCCCACTCTAAAGATTACATTTTTACTCCTTTGCTCCTGTAAAGACCCTATCTCCAAATAGAGTTACATTCTGAGGTACTGGGGCTTTGAACTTCAACATATAAACTTCGGGGGACATAATTCAACCCTCATACCTCCTTAAAAGGACGATTGACCTGTCTGTAATTCACATTCCCCAAGTACTGAGTTCTCACTGCTCTAGTAGGAATACCAACTCACTGCATATTCTTACTCAGACACTGGATAATCATATGTACTAAACTGAAATTGAAATACTATACAGGGACAAGAATGAAAGTTATGATTATGTGAACTCCTCCCTTGTGTACAATGGAAATACTGTGCCCACCTCCCGTGATCATGAGAATAGGAAAAGCCCCAGGGGTGTGACGACAACCGGCCAAGGAGGCTGGAGTCCTAGGTCACGCCTGCGCATGCTACCCCAGGGCCTCTTCTTCAGGGTGCTGGGGGGAGGGCCAAACCTGCCAGGCTGGAGTCCTAGGTCACGCCTGCGCATGCTACCCCAGGGCCTCTTCTTCAGGGTGCTGGGGGGAGGGCCAAACCTGCCAGGCTGGAGTCCTAGGTCACGCCTGTGCATGCTACCCCAGGGCCTCTTCTTCAGGGTGCTGGGGGGAGGGCCAAACCTGCCAGAGTTTTTCAGGCACCAGCACAGATGGCTGCCCTGTGAGCCTGGCTCCCACAGTCAGGCTGTTAGGTTAGGCACAAGTCCCACCTGCTGAAAAAAAGGGACAAACAGGATGCTCAGTGTTCCATTAAGGATCTCGCATTTCACTCAGCTCTGCAAGCTCCTGTCATGAATGACGTGTGTGATGCTGGGCCAGCCAGGCAGGGCCAGGGTGGGCAGCAGATGGGCACACTGACTTTCCCCTCTGCAGAGCCCAGAGCCAGGCCCGAGCCCCCCCAGCCTGACAGCAAAGTGCGCTTGGCAAGCAGAGCCCGTGTCTGGTTTATGTAGAGCAAGGAAACCACTGGCAAGCGGCTCTCTTGGCCAGTGCTGTGGGACACAACCTTGGCCCAGATTGCAGGGGTGTCTGGTACAAGCGAGGGGGGCTCTGCAGCATCCCGCAGGGAGAGTGCCTGTCCTTGGAGTAGAAGCTCAGTTCACAGCAACAGAGCTGAATCCTTCATCTGGGAAAGCTCTTTTTCCTCTGTCAGGTCACCTCACAGCATCCTCCCTACCACGTGGTTGTTTTCAACATTCAAGCTTCCCCAGGTGTCCCCTTTGTGTCTGCACTTCCAGCTCTCCTGTGCCTGTGTTGTGCTACCAAATTCTTCAAAAAGGGAACTTGCAGCCTCTCCCCTCAGCTCCGTCTGCCAGGCCCTGGCCTCAGATCCTGCTGGTCTGAGCTGGGCGCCTGTGGGATTGTGCCTTACTCACTGTTCCTGCCTCTGAAACCTTCTCATTTGAGATGGGCTGCTCTTCCTGAGGCCTGCAGGCCTGCAGCAATTTGTTAGGCACAGGGCAAGCACCCTTGGGTGTGACTGGGGGAGTCTGGGTCATAATGTGTGCTTTATCATTGGAGAGAGTCAGAGACCCAGGCCAATGGACAAATGCACCTAACCCCCTCAAAACTACTTTCTTTAATGCATGAGGTTATTTTCCTCCACCACAGACTCTATCTCAGAAGCAAAAAGCCATCCATGAACAAAGACCTGGGACCAAGCCGACTCATAATACTAGTGGGAAACGGCCCCACCAGCAGCCCGCACCTGCATCCTGCTCTCCCGCTGCCTCACTGGACCCTTGCAGTTAACTGGGACTTCAGCAGAGCAGAGCCTCATCTTACGGAGGTCAAGTGTCCCACTGCTGCAGGGCCTTCAACCTGGGTGAGACGTGGCCAGGGTGAGGAGAGGGCGGGATGTGGGCACATAGCCCAGTACTCTTTCCCAGGCATCTGCCATCTGGGGCCAGTGGGTCACACGAGCCTCCCAGCCCACACCACAGCAGCCATGTCTCATGCTCCCTCACCATGCGGGTCCGCCCACCCCAGATGCTCCCTCCAGCCCAAAGTGTTCACAGCACCAACATGACTCAGCTTCAGCAGAAGGCAGGGATTCAGGGCAAACACAGGGATGTGTTCATGGCATGACCCAAGCCACCTGTCCGTCACCTGTGCCCACTGTCAGTTTATCAACAGCTCCATGTTCACCCATTCATTGTCTACCTACAAAACATAGCTGGCCCACTAAGTATGCTTCTTTTGCCAGCTGGCAGTGCTAAGCTTTGTCAGTAGAGGGCATTAGAGAAAGATTATAGAAGGAAGGGGCTTTCTGTCCTGGTTCCAGTGGGCCCTCTTGTCGAGGCTCCTGTAGGACATGGCAGCCAGCAATCCCCAGTGGCCAGGGACTCCCTTCCAGACCTCCACCTTGGGTTCAGGCCTTTGGCAAGATGTCTCTTGGTGAATACCTTTCCCCTGATACTAGAGGGGAGATTTCTAGCAAGTTCTGAAGGATGGATTTCCAGAAAGTCCTCCCATACAGTACCAGAGCAGTTTCTCTGCCATTCAGGGAGGCATAACCATGGCTGATTAGATCTTTCTAACTAGGTTTGAACCTCAGGTTGGGGAACAGGAGCCCTTTCTTGGGAAATGTATCTCAGCCCATGGGGGGCTGGCCACTCCTTATATATATGCTATTTCTTTACTCTTGAGTCCACTTCTAACTAGCCAATCCTTCAGGACGCCAGTCCCCTGTTATGTTAATAATTATTTTTGTTGTTGTTTTCTGTTTTGAGATGGAGTCTCGCTCTGTCACCCAGGCTGGAGTGCAGTGGCACGATCTCGGCTTACTGCAGCCTCCACCTCCCGGGTTCCAGTGATTCTCCTGCCTCAGCCTCCCACTGGGATTACAGGCACACACCACCACGCCCGGCTAATTTTTTTTGTATTTTTAGTAGAGACGGGGTTTCACCCTGTTGGCCAGGCTGGTCTTAAACTCCTGACCTCTGGTGATCTGCCCGCCTAGGCCTACCAAAGTGCTGGGATTACAGGCATGAGCCACCGTGCCTGGCTAATAATTCTTTATATTAAATTTTCCCTGTTCAAATTTCCCTGTTGGGCCCTGGCTGATACACTGACTAAGGGGCTCCCTTTTTCCCTCTGAAAAGCAGTGTGGGTTTCCTAGATTCCAAAAAGGGAGACCAAGTCTTTGACAGAGGCAGAAATCATGCCACACTAGGGATAACTGGCTGGAATCGAGGGCGGCTGGAGGACATTCTAGCAGATGTGAGCCGCTGCCTTTAAGTTCCCGGGGAGCTGGCTTTGGAAACAGACTTGGCCTTGTTCTGTTGGATTCAGAAGTCAGATAGAGAGACAGCCAGGAGGCCAAAGCTATGGGGGAGGATTCCAACTCCACATACGTGAGGCCCTTCTCATCATTCTAGCTGTTTGAGCATGAAACACTTGACTTCAGCCAGGCCCGAGCCTGCTCCAGCACACGCGCCTCAGGAGGGAGGTACAGGCTGGACAATTGCCTTCAGAGGACGATATGGAGGGTTTGGGGTATGATGAAGAAGATTTCTAAGAATCAATTATGCTGAGAAATTTTAACAAATATAAGGCAGAGCATTACAATGATAAAACAATAAGAAAATACTAAAGAGTAATGTTAGACACTTCTAACCTAAGATCTTGGTCTCCATGTCATTCTAATAATGACATGTATTTGGCCAATGGATTAATAAAGTTGTTATTAAAAGTTTCTCTCCAGTTTTTACTATTGTGGTATAATGTATCTAGCTGGATAAAAGTAATGTATCAATAATCACACAGTTATGTTGATGCTCAAAATATACTGAACTGTATGAGCGAAATAACATTTTCAACTAAGGTAAGCACAGTATTGCCAGAATTTATATATTGTATAGATCTACAATTTAATTTTCAATTTGATCATAAAATCTCATTTGCTGTTTTTTATCTTAGGAACCCAAGGGCTGTTTAACTTAGACATTTATGATGTACTAAAGGAATTGTAAGGCTATTTAAATAGTTAAGCATTAAGCGCGCATGAATTTACAGTTCTATAAATGTCCTCTTGAACTATATAAGATATGGTACTCCTGGATACCCAGCTGAGAAACCCAAACCAGTTTCACACTGCCAAATAATTCATTTTCAATCAGGAAGCAATGTTTTTATCTTCACAGATTTAAGTTCATGAGCTTGACCAGGACACAGAAAGAGTCTGATTAATCAATCTGGTAACTTAGCAAATATCTAGTACTTGTCTGAGGCCGGACACTCTGAATATAGCAGTGAGAAAGACAAACGCAGCCCCTGCCCTCATGGAGCGAAAACATCATTATTCATCTCATAAGTGACACAGGCTGAAAGTTAACAGGCTGGAACTAAGGCTGGGAGGAGGGAGGGCGTGTCGGGCACAGCCTCCATGGAGAAGGCACATGTCGGCTGAGCCCTAAAGGGTGGAGTGAAAGAGGTGAGGGGGATGTTTGCTGGGGGTGGGGTCGTTGCAGGTGGAGGAAACCTCATGTCTCACCACGTGAGAACACAGCCCTTCAGACCTGGCCGCGAGAGGCCAGGGAGGGTGGCGGGGACAGGAACACAGTGCAGATGGGCTTTACTCTTTACTTACATTTATCTTTATCCCACACATCTTTATTCCTTATCTGAGCATCATGACCCATCAAAATATGTGTGTGTGCGTGTGTGTGCACTCACGTGTGTGTGTGTGTGTGTGCACTCACGCGGGTATGTGTGTGTTGGGTCCAGATGTAAGAAGTCTTCCTTAAAATTGACACGAGTCAAAACCTGAAAAATATGGCTTTCTCCTGAGTGAACTGGGAAACTATTGAAGGCTTTTGGGCCACAATGCTGACCAGATTGCATTTTAAAAGTTCTACCCTGGGGCCAGGTGCGGTGGCTCATGCCTGGAATCCCAGCATTTTGGGAGGCCCAGGCGGGTGGATCACCTGAGGTCAGGAGTTCAAGACCAGCCTGGCCAACATGGTGAAACCCCGTCTCTACCAAAAAAAAGTAACAATTAGACGGGTGTGGTGGTGGGTGCCTGTAATCTCAGCTACTCGGGAGGCTGTGGCAGGAGAATTGCTTGAACCTGAGAGGCAGAAGTTGCAGTGAACCAAAACCGTGCCACTGAACTGAGGCCTGGGTGACAGAGCAAGACTCCTTCTCAAAAAAAAAAAAAAGTTCTACCCTGGTAGCAGAGAAGAGAAGGGACTGACGGGGAATGAGACTGGAAGCCAGGGAAGGGGCTGCAGTGGAGAGAGCTGGTGCTGTCCCACATCCGGGTCGTGCCAGTGGGGGTGAAGGAGACGTGGATAAGTGTGAGAACTATTCAGGAAAGAGAAACACCAAGATTTGGCGGTGAATTAATATGTGAAATGAGGTGATGGGAGGAGACTGGAGTCAGTCTCCCAGGAAGCCGGCCTGACAATGGCTTGTACGGTGGGGCTGCTTTCTACAAAAGGGCATCCTGGGCAGGAAGCAGGCTTGGGAAATGTCAAGTGTGAAGTCCTGTGAGCTGTTAATCTGGAGATGTTGAGCAAGTCGTCGGATATGTGGTCTGGAGTTTGGAGAGACAGACAGGATTGGAATGAGGTTTACTCAGCAGTTAATTCCCAAGCCCGTACTCTTTGCCAGATGCTGCACCTTATGTTCTAGACCTCCATTAGTAAACGAACAGGTGCTAACACTGCCACCTGGAACCCAGAGCAGCTGCCATTTAAATGGAGCAGAGGTACAGGGATGGATACTTACCTAGGGTGAGTGTTTTCAGTATGTTGAAATGGGCTGCTACACCCATGATTGAAATAGAAGAATACTCAGCAGAAGGAGACCGAGACATGGAAAAACCAGCAGCATGTTCCGTCCTAAGAGACAAGGAAACAAAGCATTGCCAAGAGGTGAGTGCGGGTGTCCAAGTCGATGCAAATATCAAATTGAAATGACAGATGTCGCCCACGTGATGGAGGTACTAACAATTTTCTCTCCTACTTCCCAGGTATGCTCTGAGGATGAATAAGGGAAGAAATATTAAAGCCCTATAAATTTCAGGATAGAAATTGCATATAAAATAGTTTTCATTATCTTTATTATCATCATTGTAACGGTAATGTCAAAGGTCAATGCCAGGAACCACAACTGTAAAAAGTTAAAGTGCCACCATCCATGATGACTTTTAGAAACAGAACAGGGGGCTATATGAAAAAATAAAACATAGTGAAACTGTAAAAAGAGAAAACAGAAAAATAAATCAGGTTCATATTTCCTGGCATTCCCAGTAAATGGTAGCTATTTATTTGTTGATGTGTTTATTTATTTACTGTTCTCCGTATGAAGATGTGTAGAATGCAATTAGTGCTTTTCTGATATTGAATAATCTCACAAATCAAAGAACTCCCACTTTCTTGATGGCTAAGTCTCATGAACACAGAGAAGCTATCAGAGAGCTTCATGCCAGAGAAGTTAGCTCACAGGGCTTTGACTCCTGAGATGCTGCACTGCGAGACGGAATCCTACATCCCTAGGATGAAACCTAAGCAGTATAATCCCGTGAGACAAGGTGGAAATGTAAAGTGTAACGATTGTCATTGTTGTTACTAATGGTCTCTGTGATAATTGGAGGACACTCAGGACAGATGGCAGCTAACTGTAATATGGGACCCTGGATTGCATCCTGCAACAGAAAAAAGGACATTAATAGAAAACCAACCAAGGTCTGTACTTTACTTAATATTGGACTAATGTTAATTTCCTGATTTTGACCATTGTAATACAAATGTGTCAGATGCTAACATTAGGGGAAGCTGGATGAAAGGTATACTGAACAGGAATTCTCTCTGCTTTACCTCACATCCATGACATCAGTCTAAGTCTTCAACATATTTTCATGCTTCAATTGGCTTTGGCTGTTTCTTCAAGTTTTTCTGCACCTCCGCATAGCAACTCACCTCATTTGGACCTACTATACTAGAAGAAGCCTGGACTCCATGCACGAGCTTGTAACAACAAGTGAAATAGCATCACTGGCTCCTAAAAATCATGAATCTATCTTTTTACATTTTATTGTTTTAAATTTATTGCCTATTACTCCAAGAATTATTTTTGTATGCTTGTTTTTAAAATATCTATGTCAAAGTATTCTCTGCACTTAGTCACTTTCTGTGTACCAATCTGCAAATGGTCCAGTTTAGCGTATAAACCATCTCAACTGAGGAAGACTTTGTCAGTGCTCACACCCACACATATAACACCCATCTCCATGTGCTACTAATTCGCCTGGCAAAAACATGTTATTAAAACAATGCATGTGTGCAAAACATTGAAATTGCCTCTTTTTGTGGTGGTATCATAAACAATGAAATCTGACTGTATCATCAGGAAACACTTGCTCTCCCGTCTCAACTCACATTATTATTTGTAAATGTACTAAGTGTTATAAATGGAAAAGTTTGCCAAAATCAGCAAAGTCCATTAAAAAAAAACAGCCTGGATATTTGGCTCTGAAAACCTTCTCTGGCCAAATCCTTAAGTCTTTTTTCCTGCTCAGGACTTGCATGAAAACCACAAGAGGGCCTGTATTGAAGCCTATGGGCTGGGAATCCCAGTAGCAGCAGCACCAGATGGACCAGAAGAGACCCTCAGCAACAGGGAAGCCCCTTTATCTAACCTCTCCTAATGTAAATGCATTTCCTCAGTGCATAATGCACTGCAACGTCTCACTTAGACACAGAAAAATGAATTCCATGGAGGGAAGCATTATCTAGAATAACCTTGATTTAACAAGAATGATTTCATTGAGCAAGCATTGACCCATCCATCTGAAGAACAATTTGCTCAAAGAAACCACTAATCAAGAACTGCTCCAGTCAAAACGCTAACGAAGTAAGAAAGCAGCCTGCTGGTTTGGGACTGGGAGAGTGCAGAGCGCTAAGACCACGCTGCCTGCCAAGAGGCCGTGCCTCGCGTTTGAATCCCAGCAGTGCTGCCGGAGGTGGCATTGATGGATCCGCATGTCCAAGCCAGAACTGAAGACACTTCTCAGGAGGATAGCAAGTGACCTGCATGCCAGAACATGTGGTTTTCTTTACAAGGCTTTCCACCTCTGCATTCTCCATTTTCTACTTAGCAGAAACTGTGCACGCTACATGTTTTACAGGGCATACAGGGTGGCCTAATCCCATCCAGTCACCAAAAACATGTAGTTTATTTTTCCCTGCAAGACTGTCTTGAACAGCATGGCATCCCTCCATGTTCAGGTGAAGCACTGAAGAATGAAGCTGGTGGGGAGCAAGGAGGCACCAGTGAAGCAAGTGTTACAAACTGCAAGATGGAATTCTGCTTAAGCAGAATGGAGAAGCCATTAAAGCCAATAATTCATGTTAGGATCCCTGAAAGGATTCATTTAGTTCTGCTAGCTACATAAAGATAGTCCCTCCAGAGCACAAATATGTAGCATTTGTTAAAAACAGTATCAGTGAAACTAGATGGTCAGAAATGGAAAAATAGGGCACCAACTTCCTTGTACCCCCTCCCAGACACCCAGACTGGCTGCCTCAGGAAGAACAAGGCTATCTGGCCTCCTTGCCTCAGACTTGGGTGCAGGGAGCCCAGAAGGTCCCAGGTGGCACTGGGATGGCCGCAGGGGGACATCGGCACACCCTGGAAGGTGACCCTCACCTCGTAGTGATGGAGTGGAGCTCTTTGTCCCATCCTCAGCCACCCTCAAGATGCAGAAATGAGCAGACAGAGCAGAAAGCGGCACAGACAGCCAGGGGAGAGTTTCCTTCTGTCCAGACACAGGCACGGCACAAACAGGGAATACCTGGTGTCTCCCCCATCACTTTCCTTTTGCTCAGATTAAAGAAGAAAACTGGAAACCACCGTTATCTAGGACATAGCAGCTCTGCTAGCAGTGAGCCAGGGCCACATGTGGACTGCGTCAGAGTGGTCAGGAGCATGAGATTTGGGGACAGAGAAGGGCATTGGGACAGGGGCTGCATCCACGCATTTGCTTCAATTCCCTCTCCTGCCAGAATCAGACAATCAGATCTGGTTTTCTGTTGTTGTTGTTTTAATGGAGATGGGATCTTGAGCTTCCAGCACCTTCTTTATTAGTGTAAATATCTCCGTCAGTCCCCACCAGCTAAAATTACATTGAATGGAATGGGACTCAAGGCCAGCACCCTTGTGTTAGATGAGGGACCCCTCCATGAGTCCTGTCTCTCGAACCCCATATCCGACCCATGAGCGGGTCCCGTAACTCTACCTTCCAGATAGCACCGAAGGCAGCCAGCACTTGCCAGTTCCACCGCTGTGCCCCGGGCTGACCACCCAGCTCTTCTCTTGCCTGTGTGCTATATGGGCTTTCTAATTGGTGTCCCTGGGTCCTTCCTTGCACCCTTCATCCTAATCTCCACACAGGAGCCAAAGCAACGCTGTTAAAATATGTGTCTGATCACACCAGCCCACTGCTCAGAACTCTCCAAGGGTTGTGAGCCAAGCAGAGTCTTACACGGGTGGCGAGGCCCTGTGTAACTGGATCGTTATTTCTCTGAACTCTCTGTCTATTCTTCTTGCTCAGGCCACCCCAGCCATTCTGTCCTTGTAACTCCTTGAACTTTCCAGGCATGGTCCCCCAACAGGGCCTTTGTACCTGCTGCTCCCTCTGCCTATAAAGTTTATTTCTGAGGCTCATTTCTCATCTCTTCCCAGTCTTTATTCAAGCATGCACCCCACACCCCCCATTGCCTTTTCCTGGCTTTATTTCATTTATTTATTTATTTTGAGATGGAATCTTGCTCTTGTCGCCCAGGCTGGAGTGCAGAGGCACGATCTCGGCTCACTGCAACCTCTGCCCTGGCTTTATTTTACTTCATAGCCCCTGTCACCATGTAACAAGCTATTGACTCCACTTATTTACCTTGCTTACTATCTGTTTCCCTCAACCAGGATTTGAGAATAACAAAGACAGGCATCTGTTTGCTTATTTTGTTCCATGACGTATTCTGAGAGCCCAGAACAGTGTCTGATATACAGTTAATGCTCAGCAAATCACTGTTACCTTCACCGGTGGGATGAATAAATGTTGAAGGAATCACAGCAATCAGGCAGGATACAAGAGCACTGAAGAGCAGGCAAGAGATGCTGAGAACCCGCTGGTTCTGCAGGACAAGGCATTTCTCGATCTTTTGGTTAAGAGTGGGCAGAAGAGGCCAGTCGCAGTGGCTCACGCCTGTAATCCCAGCACTTTGGGAGGCCGAGGTGGAAGGATCACTTGAGGTCAGGAGTTCGAGACCAGCCTGGCCAACATGGTGAAACCTTGTCTCTACTAAAAATAGAAAATTAGTCGGGCTTAGTGGTGTACACCTGTAATCCCAGCTACTCAGGAGGCTGAGGCAGGAGAATCACTTGAATCCAGGAGACAGAGGTTACAGTGAGCCGAGATCATGCCACTGCACTCCAGCCTGGGCAAAAAGAGTGAAATTCCACTCAAAAAAAAAAAAAAAGAGTAGGCAGAAGCACCCTCTAGCACAGCATTTCTCATCCAGCAGGCTGCCCATTAGAGGGTCCTGAGATCATTGCAATGGGCTGTGACCACCAATATAAAGAAAATTTTAAAAGAAATAGCCAGCCAGGGTGGCAGGTGCCTGTAGTCCCAGCTGCTTGGGAGGCTCAAGGATTGCTTGAACCCAGGAGTTCTGCCCTGCAGTGCGCGGTGCCCATCGGGTGACACCCATCAGGTATCTGCACTAAGTTCAGCATGAAGAGCAGCGGGCCACCAGGCTGCCTAAGAAGGAATGAACCAGCCTGCTTTGGAAACAGAGCAGCTGAAACTCCTGTGCCGATCAGTGGTGGGATCACACCTGTGAGTAGCCACGCCTGCCCAGGCAACACAGACCCTGTCTCTTGCAAAATTAAAAACTTAAAAATTAAAAGAAAAGAAATACATAAATTAATAAAAATCAAATTTTAAAAAATTTAAGGAAATAGAATTTTTAAAATTGGAGTAAATCACATATAGTAAGAATAAGTATTATTTCAAGAAATTTCTGTTTCCAATCCACACACACATATAAGTGTCAGATTGTTGCAATGTAAAATGTATTGCTTATCATAGTTCTCAGTCAAAAAAGTTTGGAGGCTGGGTGCGGTGGTTCACGCCTCTAATCCCAGCACTTTAGGAGGCCTAAGCAGGAGGATTGCTTGAGGCCAGGAGTTCAAGTTCAGCCTGGGGAACATAATGAGACCCCATTTCTAAAAAATAATTTTTTAAAATTAACCAGGCATGGTGTGTGTGCCTGTAGTCTCAGCTACTTGGGAGGCTGAGGCAGGAGGACTGCTTGAGCCCAGGAGGTTGAGGCTATATTGAGCCGTGCTTGCACCACTGCACCCCAGCCTGAGCGAGAGTGAGAACCTGTCTCAAAAAAAAAAAAAAAAGTTCTCTATTCCCCGTGACCAAAAGACTTCAGGAGTTTAAAGTATTTTCTGGTTTGAATCATGATTACGATGTTGTTATTGTATGCAACTAATGAAAACAACATAAATGTTATAAATGCTGATTTACAAATTGTGTTAATGCAAGGAGGAAATTTTAATTGGAAATGTATCACTCATATGATGAATGTTCTTTTTTTTTTTTTTTTTTTTTTTTTGAGTTGGGCTCTCACACTGTCACCCAAGCTAGAATGCAGTAGCGTGATTGTGGTTCCTTGTAGAACTCCTGGGCTCAAGGGATCCTCCCGCCTCCGTCTCCCAAGTGGCTGGGACTGCAGGTGTATGTCACTACACTCACTCTATTTTTTGTAGAGATGGAGTCTTGCTGTGTTGCTCAGGCTGATCTCAAACTCCTGGGCTTAAGTGATCCTCTCAAAGTGCTGGGATTACAGGTGTGAGCTACTGCGTCCAGTTTGAATTTTCTCATTTTAAAATGTAACAGGATAAATATACCACTGCCAGAATGCAACATAGCTCGGAATTAATTCTTTTCCTACTTTTTGTGCTTTGTAGATATAACTTCTGGAAAACTCCATCACAAAATTAAGCTGATGGGAATGGAAAAGGTTTGTTATTGAAATGTCCGTCAATTCTCCTAATTCTTTCCTCATTTTATTCCCCAGATCATCCAGGTCTTCACAGGACTCCTCCCCCAGAATGATGCCTCCTTTGACAATAGCTGGAGATGTCAGAAATGAGATCATTACTCAGCACTGGATGCAGTGGTGCGTGTCTGTGTTCCCAGCTACTCAGGAGGCAGAGATAGGAGGATCACTCGAGCCCAGAAGGTGGAGGCTGCAGTTAACTTTAATCTGCACCACTGCACTCCAGCCCAGTTGACAGAACAAGACACTGTTTCTTAAAGAATAATAATAATAATAAATTTAAGTCTGGAAAATCTGTTATAGGTAATACCCCTGGCGTAGCTGAAATACTCACATTTTAACGGTTCTGGAGAGAGAGATCTTCCACGGCCTTTTTGGTGCTCCCATTGTGTGTGCTTACGTAGGGTGAGCTTGTGGTCAACATTTCTCCAGGGCTCTGCTCATTTTTCTGTATTTTTTTCTTTCCGTTCTTCAAGCTGCATAATCTCTACCTATCCTGTATATCTACCTTCAAAGTTTGCTGATCCTTTCTATTTGAACAACTCAAATCTCCTGTTGAGCATTTCTAGCGATTTTTAAATTTTTGTCATTGTGCTTTTCCATTCCAAAATTCCCATTTGGCTCTTTTTTGTAATTCCTCTCTTTAGTGACGGTCTCTATGTATGAGTCATTGCTATCAAACCCTTTTAAAATTATTTACACGTGGTTTCCTTAGTCCTCTGAAAACATTTGCAATCCTACTTTGAGTATGCACCTGCTTGGTCCAACATCTGAGCCCCCTTAAAGGCAGTTTCTATTGCCTGTTGTTTTTCCTGGGTATCAGCTATTCTCTGTTTCTTTGTAAGCCTAATTTTTTGTTGAAAACTGGACATTAAATAGTACCTTGTAGTAACTCTGGATACTAACATCCCATTTGGTGGCTTGATTTTTTTTTTTTTTTTTTTTTTGTCATTTTGGTTGTTTACTTGATTAGTGACATGGCTGGGCTGAATCTGTGAAGTCTTATTTCCCTTGCAGTGTGATGTCCTGGCTCAGCTATTTTCCCCTTGAGTATGTCTTTTACCCCAGCATCCTAGGGTTCACCCTGGGTCTGCATAAACCACTTATTGGTAAAAGACTGTGCTTAAGCTGCTTAGCCAATTAGATTTTCACCTTTAGCACTGCGTCTGTGTGTGGCTGCAGACTGCTTTCACTGCTCAGATAGTTCATGATTTTGCCCTGCATTTAGCCAGCGTCTGGTAGCTCAGAGTTTCTCTTTCCCAAAAAGGCGTAGCCTTCGGCGTGTGCACAGTCTTCCAAATGACCAGGAATCGGTATGATTTTATTTTTAGACCTGGCTTCCTAGGAGTCAGCCTTGGGTCAGAGTAACTGTTGTTTAGCCAGTGTGTGGTCAGAGGCTGTGCTCAAGTCCCTGGAGCCAGAAAGGCTCAAGGTCCCTTAATGATGCATCTTCTATTGCTGGGCCTGGAAGCTCCTTCCTACCAATGAGCTGGAGTAGGGCAATCGAGCCCCTGTATTCTTTGTCCTGGGCAAAACTCTCACCCTACAAATGGAGGCTATGTGACGAGGGAAGTCCCAGTCCTCCATGCTGAGCCCACCAGGTAGCATTTCCACATCATAAGCCTGGGGAAGACAGGATATGCACATGGCCCTCCCCCACTGGTGTGAAGCTGGAGTTTGGACTGGGAGCTGAGGGTAGAGGGAGTCCCCACCACACAGAGCTGATGAAAAGGCTGTAGGGGTACAAGCCCTGGCTCAAATGCCATAGACTCTTGCTATTTTGATTGAGATTTCATAGGTTTTCTTGAATGACGTTTTCCCTTTGCTGTTTGCCCTTAGAACAACTACTAGAGGCTTTAAATGGTTGTTGGTTTATGTTTTACCTTTTAATTAATTTTCTCCAGTTAAATGGTTGCTTTGCTGAGGAAGTCCTGCCCCCTGGGCCTTTTGTACAATCCACATCAAGGTCTTACCATGTGAAAGTGACTTTCTGTGTGGAACTCAAGCCTAATGTGCTGGGGCCAGCCTGCTACCTTTCAGCAGGCACCTGTTCAATGGGGCACCCCCAAACTCAAATCTCCTGGGCCTGACACAAAGAGGAGCCAGAGGAGAACGAGGAGGAATGGGACACAGCTCTTGCTCAGGGGTGGTAGGACCCAGTGGTCGAGAATTCAGTCCCAGACAATACATATTTACTGATGGAGTTCCCCACTTCAGACCTGATGTACTGCCTGTTTTCTTCCACCAGACATGAGGACCAAGCAGATGAGTTTTGTTTATTCTGTCCTGTGCTGTATACCCAGAGCCTGGAACAGTGCCTGGTACACAGTAGGGCACCTGCTGACCGGGTGCAGTTCATGGCCACCACCTCTAGCTACCTGTGATTGGAGATAAGACAGTAATGAGGCCAGACTTCTTCAAGAATCCTTTGAGCTTCCTAACACACAGCTGTGCAGCCTGTGCTGCGTTACTTACCATAGCCCCAGCTCCAGCCCAGGAGGACTCCCACCCGACTCTGTGGCAAGTTGGACGGAGCACCACAGTTGCAGTCACATGTCAAGCCATAACACTGGCAGAGCTCCTTGAGAAAGCTGCCTCCTCTGCCACAATGCACTCCTGCCTCAGTGCCTTGTGTGTAAGAGAAGAGCCAGGCAGAGGAGATGCTTCTGCCTTCATCCCAGGAGATGGGCTTGAACTGCATGGGTCCACCTAGACATGGATTTTCTTCCATCTCTGCCACCCCCGAGACAGCAAAACCAACCCCTCCTCTTCCTCCTCCTTCTCGGCCTACTCGATGTGAAGATGAAGAGGATGAACACCTTTGTGATGATCCACTTCATGAACAGTAAACGTGTTTTTCCTTCCTTGTGATTTTCTGAATACCATTTTCTTTTCTCCAGCTTACTTTAAGAAAACAGTACATCATGCACATACAAAATATGTGTTAATTAAAGACTTTATGTTATCAGTAAGGCATCTGGATGACAGCAAGCTATTCATAGGGGAATCAAAAGTTATACTCAGATTTTCAGCTGTGCAGGGATCGGTGCCTCTACCCCCACACTGTTCAAGGGTCACCTGTATATCCACTTTATTTTTTTAATATTTATTTTTATGTCAACAGTTTTTGGGGAACAGGTGGTTTTTTGTTACATGGATAAATTATTTAGTGGTGATTCCTGAGATTTCGGTGCACCTGTCACCTGAGCAGTGTCCCTTACCCCCTCCCACCCTTCTTTCCAAGATCCTAGAGCCCATTATATCATTCTTATGCCTTTGCATCCTCATAGTGTAGCTTCCACTTATAAGTGAGAACATACGATATTTTGTTTTCCATTCCTGAGTTACATCACTTAGGATAATGGCCTCCAGTTCCATCCAAGTTAGTGCAAAAGACATTGTTTCATTCCTTTGTATGGCTGAGTAGTATTCCATGGTGTATATATACCACATTTTCTTTATCCACTCGTTGGCTGATGGGCAGTTATGTTGGTTCCATATCTTTGCAATTGCAAATTGTATATGTACTTTATTTTTATTATTTTTTAAATTTCATTTCTAAATTTCAGAAAACCTACTTAAATACACTTTGAAACAACAGTCCAACAAAATAGAACAGACTTCAAATGTTGAATATACAAACCATTATAGTTCAAATCTGAACACTGGTACTTTCCGTCATAAACTTCAACTAAAACAAAAAAAAAGAAAAGAAAGAAAGGAAGAAGGAAGGGAGGGAGGGAGGAAGGGAGGGAGGGAGGAAAGAAAAGAAGAATAGAAAAGGAAAAGAAAAGAAGGAAGGAGAGCGAGAAAGAAAGAAAGAAAGAAGAAAAGAAAGAAAGAAGAAAAAGAAGAAAAGAACGAACGAAAGAAAGAAAGAAAGAAAGAGAAAGAAAGAAAAAAGAAAGAGAAAGAAAGAAAGAAAGAAAGAAAGAAAGAAAGAAAGAAAGAAAGAAAGAAAGAAAGCAAGCTAGCTCACTCCAGGTATTAGAGCTACCTAACAAAAAGTCATGCTGATCCTGAACTTCCAAGTGACAGTAGAACTGAAACTGATATGGCTGCAGAAATGCCAGGGCTAAGCGAGTGACACAGACATGTTATAGCAAAAGGCCAGGGCCAACTGTTAATTTGTCCACAATTAAGAAACACAGACTTAAACTACCATATAAAATCTTACATGTAAACTCTGTAACAGTACTGTGCTAGGTACAAGATTTTAAAATTTTTTCATTTTATAAAAAAGCTTTACACAAACAAGCCATTAGTTTATTTCGAGAAAGAAAACCGAAAATTAGTCTAAGGCCTTTGTTTTAAATCAGCTTAAGCTATATCATCTATATATATATTTTAATCACACCAGACCTTTTTTTGCTATCCTCTTTCTGAAGTTTTTGGATCCATTCTTCAATTCACATTCTAAAATACATATATTAGGACAGTGTTCACATAGCACCAGTTGAGTACTGTGCAAACACAGTAATGATTGCTGGTACACACATAAAATGCATCAAAAATTGCTATATGTAACAATGAGATCACCCATCCCAACCCCTCCCCACTGACACAGAAAACTATATAACCTCTTACAGAATTTTAGTGTTCAAAGTCTTAGTGTAACTTGATATCTTAGTGAGCTGCTTGGTCCCTTTCAATCCTTTTTCTTAGCGACGGGTTCAGTTGTTTTTCCTACTGGAAGAGGCAGTTTTCTGTCAGCATCTCAATACATAGTTTATTTCCCACTGAAACATGGGATAGGTAATTTATTTCCAGTAAGTTCGCTTGTTTTCTTACATGCATTAAACATGTTTTAAAGTCTTCTTTGACTTTTCTTGATGACTTCCCTTGCCAATGTTTATGTCAGTACTGCCACTAACAGCCTGAAGTCCATGGTGGGGCTGCTATTTTATTTCTCACATGTCACTAGTCCTTCTGTTTTCATAGTTACAGGAAGGGCAGTAGCTGAAGGCACACTGACAACCACTACATGGGTCACTGTCTTATTTCCATCAGCCAGTTTTTCTTCTACGAACTGCAAAGTTTCCACATCACGTTCTTGCTTTTTTGCCACTGCTTTTGATTTAACCTCCGGCCCCTGTATGACTACACCGATAACTCGAGGAGGAGTCTGCCCAGATGCCTGCTGAGGAGGCACTGATAGTCTCATTACGGCTGTACCATGGGCTATTGAGACAGGGGTAACGGCTCTCACAGCCAATGGAGCTCCAACAATGTGAATGCTTCCTGATCCAGTCAGATTTGACTTTGCAGTTGACACTGAGCGAGCTGTGTAGCTGGGATGGAAATAATTTGGGGACACTGCATGGTGATTTTGTTTCCATTTTCGGTAGAAGCTGGCATCACAGTAGGGATTGCCTGAATGACTGCCTTTGGAGAGGTGGCTGTTGTTGGACTAGTGCTGATTATTAATGGTGCACCTGCACTATTTGACTGAACTGCCACAGCTGAAATTTTCTGGCCCAATGACGTCATTACAACAGGTACTTGCATTGCCACACGAACTGTCCTTGGAGCTGCTGTTGCTGATACAGATGCAGTGATAGCAGGAGACCTGGATGAAGCATCATGACCAGGGGAAGTGATACTCACAAATCTAGCCACACCCTTCTCTGCTCTGGAGCAGTTTATAGGGGATGAATTTCTTCCACCATGAACAGAGGATGCTGCTTTCAGGAGACTTTCTGCAGACAGTGACATTGTTCTAATAATTTTTCATCCATAGCTCCTGCTAAGTCTTCATTACAGGTTTCACTTTTTTATCGTCTATGACCACTATGTTTTTCGGCATATCCTTGAACTGATATACAAGCCTCTGTCCTTCAATCTTTGCAAGAATTCCCCTTTGGTAATAGTATCTCAAAGCTCGTCCCATGGTTTCATAGTTCACGTCTGGTTTGTTCTTATGCTTTCCCCAAAGCTTAGAGACAGCTTTTGAATCCACCAGCTTGAATATGCCTTTTTCTCTCTGAGGCCATTTAATATACCGGGGACAAGTATTTTTATCTTGAAGTAGATCTAAAAGAAACTCCCACAAATAGGTTGTGTTTCCTTTTCCTTCTCTCAGTTTCTTTATACCTAACTCAGGAGATCCACTGGAAATTGGTGATTGCTGGGTCTTTGGTTTATGGCCAACTGTTTTCTTTTTCCTTGGTTCACAGCTATCTGGTGATGTAGGAATAGGAGAGGTATCCATTGGTTCAGACTCTTCAGTTGACGCCTCCACTGTAGTTTCTGTAATGACATCTGGCCTCATAGCAGCATGGATAAATTCTGGAGTTGATACACAGGAGGGACAAATACTTCCACAGGACTTCTCGAATCCCTCAAGCAGGTAGGAGATTCCACATGAAGCAGGGCTTCAGCAGCTTCGACTGTCTTATCTGTACAGTGTACATTACTGCTGTGAGCAGATGCTTCCACCCCCGAGATGAGCAGATCCAGCTGGTTCATGGGTCCCTCATGCAGAGACGTTGCCACGTTCATCCCGGGGCTGGAGCTGCTGCTTCACACTGACTTACACGGTGAGCAGCGGCGGCAGGGGAGGAGGTGGAACCCGCGGCGAGCTGCTGCTTCACACTGACTTACACCGTGAGCAGCGGCGGCAGGGGAGGAGGTGGAACCCGCGGCCGGAGACACACGCCGTGGGGTCGGTCAACACACACTCACGCACTTGCACACGCTCCAAGGCCCGGAAGGAAGCTGAGGCCGGCCCGCCTCCCGCCAAAGGGCCGAGGAATCCCGCCACCTAACGGCAGGGGCAGGGGCCACAGCTGGCAACGCCTACTTTAATTTTAAAAATAATCACTGGGGCCTGGAGCAGCGGCTCTCGCCTGTAATCCCAGCACTTTGGGAGGCCGAGGTGGGCAGATCACCTGAGGTCAGGAGTTCGAGTCCAGCCTGGCCAACATGGTGAAACCCCGTCTCTACTAAAAATACAAAAATTAACTGGGCCTGGTTGTGTATGCCTGTAATCTCAGGTACTCAGGAGGCTGAGGCAGGAGAATCGCTTCAACCGGAAGGCAGAGGTTGCAGTGAGCCGGGATCATGCCACTGCATTCTAGCCTGGGCAACAGAGCAAGACCGTCTAAAAAAAGAAAAAATCATCAGGGAATACATTTTGTGCCATATGTATTGGGTGAATTAAGGAAAGGCTCCTTATGTGATAGTTCATTTATGCCTCACCATCACCTCCTAAGATAAGGAATAGCAGACAATTTTCCAGAGGAAGAAATGAGGTTTAGAAGGAATGTAATTTTAAAGTCACATGACCAGCAGGTCCCAGACCCTGTATTGAAACCTGAGTATATCTGGCTTATGTTCTTCCTACTGCATATGCTATATCTTCCAGGAAGAAAAAAGTATTTACAGTGTCCTAAAAGGTCGTCATAGTTGGAAAGGACCTTATGGATAATCCAGGCAGAAGTCTCTCCCTTTTTACATTAAGCTATATAAAGTCTTAAACGGAACTAAGGCTCAATTATGTTAACTGAAAGACGTTATCCCGTCGTGTGATCCAAGATGACCCTAGCGGTGCTCGGAAGTTGCTTTGCCGGGCAGCAGCCGTTCGCCAGTCCCCTCCTTGGCCCCAAGCCCCCCGGTGACTGTCATATGGCCTCACACTTATCTCATGAGCTACATTGTTACAGATTTTAATAATGTAACATCCTTCTATGACGGATGTGCAAAAGCAGGCATCAGAAACCATTGACATTTATTATCATTGTCTGTTACTATCACTAGGAAAGTTGGAAGCTGTCGTTTTTAATGCAGAAAAATCGGGTCTAAATGTCTGAACCCCCTTTACTCAAAGCTCTGCTGAAGTGAAGCACATATTAAATAGTGTTTCTAAATGACCATTGACCTGGCATTTCCCCAATCAAAGATGGTTTTTTGTTATTTATTTTTAATTATGTCACATCTATGAAACACAATTTGCCAAAAGCAAGCCCTTCAGCGACCTCTGAGCGCTGAGTTCTGATGGCACAGGAGGGAGCCCTGTAACAATCGTGTGTGTTTTCCATGATCCCAGAGGACTGCCCTCCAGCTCTGCAGAGAAGTCTCCTCTGCAGCACGAGGGGCCCACCAGCCTCGAGGCACAGAGGAGACCAGAGCACATCTACACTCAGGTCTGGTGCTCTGGCCAGAAGCAGAGGCTGCCAATTGTACTCAGCCATACTTAATTAAGTAATAGTTTTATGAGGTGGACGGCAATACCCCAGGGGCCAACTCAAGGCCACAGGATTTATTGAGCTCTAACTGCAAACCGACAGTCCCCAGCATGCACACAACAGAGTCTGTATTACGAGAAAGTTAGTGTTGCGAGAGAATTCTTTCCAGGGAAAGTGAGGTGCCCATTCTTCATTTGCTAGCAGGTTCTCTGCTCCGTGAAGCACCAGCACTTCCAACAGGAGCCTGGGTGGACACACCGTGCAGAATGAAAGATGGGGAGCAATGACCTGAAAGCATGCGTGGGGTTTGCCTGGTCAAGAGAGGCAGGAAGTGGTGGCTTCTAAAGAGGAAGCACCTTCACAAGCAATAACCAACAGCAGTGGGATTTCGGTGGGGGAACAACTGAGGACAAGACAGGTCAGGCAAGGGTGTGATAATTAACTATGGTTTCAAGAAGGAGAGGGCCAGAGCCAGTCACCTGTCCCCAGGTGTCACTGTAACTCCACCCCTCCATCAGCCAAATCAGCGCCAGGAAGCAGGAATGAGTGATGCAGGCAGCCGAAGGGGCCACTCACCCCTGGATCTCCGTATCTAGCTGTTTAGCTGTGGGGAACGTTATTGAACGCGGATTTTAAGACACACAAAATACTCCGCTGTAAATCCAAAGAAACACATTCGTAGACTTACAAGTTTACAGATTCTAGCCCATACAGGAGTCAGAAAGTCCATGAGAACCTGGAAGCACCTGCCTGTTTAGATTTTGTCCTTCATCTTTTCTGCCGTCACCCTTGGGTAGCTCTCCCAGCAAGACCACTGGAAGAAAGACTGAACTTAAAGCAGTTGTTTCCTTGGAATACTTATAAAAATATGAAGGCTTTGTGTGTTCTTTTTAAAAATCTATAACATTGCAACCTGATTCAAAGCAAACACATAAAAAAACACAAGGCTGATAGGTAAGAAAAAGACCTTAATGAGGGATCCTTAGAGATGTTCATGTATTGAAGCCAGTGGGTCAAGGCAGAGACCCTTTGAGGCCCTTGCAGGAACTGGTTAGTGCTGAGCATAGTGGCCATCCCTTCTAGCTTGCCCAGGGCAGTATCATTTTATCCTGCTGTCCCGGGGTCATCATTAACACCATCCCCTTTCAGATTGAAAGGCATTCTGTAACCACAGAACTAGTTCAAACCGATTCAACCCTGTCAGTAACAAAATGTAATGAAATGTGAGCTGTTTTTCAGTGCAACAGACCCCCAGATTACAAGTCATATAATCTGAGTGTGCCAGATGAACTAAGCAAGCCCTATCCATGCTGGCCAGAACATAAAAGCCAACCACAGGTGGAACCAAAATATTCAGGCTGCAGAACAGAGAGCAAATTAAGAAGCAAGAGGTGCCCTGTTTTGTTGCAGTACAGACTTTACAGCCAAGGGCCCATCATTGCCCCTTTGCATGACCCAGTTGGATCCCACCTTGCGGCATCTTCCTGTCTCCCCCATAGTTACCCTCTGCCTATAAAACCTGCCCCCAGACTTTGGCTGGGGGAGATGGATATGAGCGTCCTCTCCAGTCTCTTTGCCAGTCCATTCACAATAAGGCTTTTTCTTTTCTCAAAAGCCCATGCCATAGCATTGGTGTCTATGTGTGTTGGGAAGCAAGCCAATGACGATCCCAGTTTGGACAACAAATTCTGTAGTCACCTGGAGCTGGGAATCAGACCTGGAGCTCTGACAGCTTCTCATCCTCCAGGTGAAGGTTCCAGCAACGACCACCAGCCTGGTGCCCTCGATTGGCCTTGGTTCCAAAGCGGGCAGTGGTGATTAACAGTCCGAGGCACACTGGAGGTCCGAAGCCATGTCAGCTCCTGTGCTGGCCTGAGTAGCCGTGTCTGCCCCACGTGACCGGGAAGTCAAACACTCAGCCTCCCTGGCATCTGCCCCAGGCCCATCCGGATGGATGGCATCATGGTGATGGGAGGAAGCACTCCCCACTTTGTGACCTGAAGGTCAAGACAGTGCTCTTTCCCAGCCCAGCTAAGGAGTCCTCTTTAACCTTGTAACAGCCATCAGTCTACTTGGTTGTCATGGAAACACAAACCAAAGATCCCTCTTTCTCATTAGGATCCCATCACATTCCGGCGTCTTAGGGAGAAGCTTTGGGAATAGCCAGGCGTCATGGTGGTGAGCACCTGCAGTCCCAGCTGACTCAGGAGGCTGAGGCAAGAGGATCGCCTGAGGCCAGGAGTTCTAGGCTGCAGTGAGCAATGATTGTGCTACTGCACTCCAGGCTGGGCAACAAAAAGAGACCCTATGTCTAAAAAGTAAATAAATAATTTAAATTTAAAAACTAACAAAGGAGTTTGTTGCTCTCTCGCATCATAGTCTAGATGAATGTTCTAGTTTGACAGGTGGTTCTGGGCCACGCAGTCATTCAGGGCCCCAGGCAGAGAGCATGTCTGCCATCTTTGGCCCATGACTTCCAGGGTAGCTGTGGTCATTGCCACTGTTGTCAGTAAGGAGGGAGCAGTGAGGAAGGATGATGCACTCCCATTGTTTTATGGGCCCCAATATGGAAATGGCCCACATTATGGGAAGAATTTAGCTAAGTTGGCCCAAGTACTGCAGAGAGGACTGGGAGAGGTTGTACCTGGTTGGTATCCAGATCCCAGGTAGAATTTATTTTTATGAATGAGGGTTAGAGTGGATGTTGGCTTACAACTAGCATTTTCCATCACAAAGGTGATACTTCCTTCCCCTCAGGCTGTTGCAACAAGTAGCTTACAGTAAATGTGCCCAGCACACACTGGTATTCAAGAAATGGGAACTCTTCCTCTTCCTATTTCTAACATGCTCTTGTCTGGTCTCGAGTCTGTAAATACCCTCCCTATGCTGGTCATTTCCAAAATTACATGACTCCTTCTAAATTCTCCCCTGAGCTCCAGCTCTAAATATCCAACTGACGACTTGTCGTACCCACTTGGATATGTAATAGACATCTCAAATTTAGTATGTGCATACGTTGAAATTTATCAAATCATGCATTTTAAATATGTGTAGTTTATTGTGTGTCGATTATACCTCAATGAAATGGTTTTGAAATAATGGTATGGACAAAAAGGAGCACTTGCTTTTCCCCCTGAAAGAGACCCTTCCCCAGTTGCCATCATTTCAGCAAATGGCACGACACAGTTGCCCATTTCAAAACTTGAGGTCTCCTCCTTGGGTCCTTTCCCCTCCCTACTCCCACATTCAACCTGTGGCAGTCCTGTCTGTGCCATATCGCAGGCCGCCTGCTTCTCCCCACTCATAGCCACGGCCCTGGCAGGGGCTGCCAGCATCTTGTGCTCAGTTCCTGCAACAGCCTGCCTGCTGGGACCCTGTCTCCACACTTGCAGCCTTCCAGTCCCATCTCTGTGTGTGTATGTGGTGAGATATAAACAATATCAAATGTACTGTCTTAGCCATTCTTAAGAGTACAGTTCAGTGGCATTAAGCACATTCACTTGGTTGTCCAACTGTCACCATCATCCATCTCCAGGACTTTTTCATCTCCCCAGACTGAAACTCTGTCCCCATTAAACACCAGCTCGCCATTCCCTTCACTCCAGCCCCTGGCAGCCACCACTCTACTTTCTTTCTCAATGAATTTGACTACTCTGGATACCTCGTGTGAGTGGGATCACACAGCATTTGTCCTTTGGTGTCTGGCATATTTCAGTGAGCATGACGTGCGTGCATGTTGTAGTATGTGTCAGAATGTCCTCTTTTTTTGAAGACTAATATTCCATTGTGTGGATAGACCACATTTTGTTTACTCATTCATCTGTCAATGGACATGGGTTGTTTCCACCTCTTGGCTATCGTGAATAACACTGCTATAAACATGGCAGGTAAGCAGCTGTTCGAGCCCCTGCTTTCAGTTCTTTTGAGTATCCTGAGAAGTGGAATTGCTGGATCTTATGGTAGTTCTAGGCTTAATTTTTTGAGAAACCACCATACAGTTTCCCAGCCACAGCTACCCCATGTTACATTCCTACTAACACTGCACAAGAGTCCCAGTTACTCCACACCTTCAACAACACTTGTTTTTGTTTTTTTGAGATGGAATCTCACTCTGTCGCCCAGGCTGGAGTGCAGTGGTGCGATCTCGGCTCACTGCAAGCTCCGCCTCCCGGGTTCACGCCATTCTCCTGCCTCAGCCTCCCAAGTAGCTGGGACTACAGGCGCCCGCCACCACACCTGGCTAATTTTTTGTATTTTTAGTAGAGACGGGGTTTCACCATGTTAGCCAGGATGGTCTTGATCTCCTGACCTCATGATCTGCTCACCTCGGCCTCCCAAAGTGCTGGGATTACAGGCGTGAGCCACCACGCCCGGCCTGTTTTTTTTTTTTTTTTTTATGATAGCCATCCTGATGGGTATGAAATGGGATCTCATTGTGGTTTTGCCGTGCATTTCCCTAATGACTGGTGATGCTGAGCATTTCTTCATATGTTCATTGGCTATCTGTATGTCTTCTTCAGAGAAATATCTATTCAAGCCCCTTGATCATTTTTCAATTGTTTTGTTGCTGAGTTTTAGGTTTATCCTTTAAAACATAAATCAGATCTAGTCATCTCCCACTTTACCCTCTTATCATTGGCTTTCCACTGCATTTAGAATGCAATCGGTCTCCTTCTCTGGTTACTAGCTACCTCCAAACCACCTCTCAGCACTTCCCTGCTGGCTCCCTGAGCAACCCCTAGGGCTCCTTTCTCTTCAGAGGCACCAAGCTCCTGCCCAGCTCTCCCTCCCAGCCCTGACCATCGCAGCACAAAGAGGTCTTCCCTGACTGCCTGAGCTATCCGCCTTAGGAAAAGGCCTGGCATTATTCTCGGTGCCTCATCTTATTTATCACGACCTTACAATCTTGGTTGCTCTTATCACTTTGCTCTTTCACACCATCTCCCTTTTCACACAGCTCCTCAATGCAGGTGTCTTGCCTGTTTCGCTTATGATACCTGATGTCTGCTCACAGCAGGCTGAAGTAAGTATGAGTTAAATGAATGAATTAATCTTCTATTACTCTCCTGTCACTATCACCACTACTTCTGCTCCTACCATTTCTACTATTTATTGAGAATCTCTATGTGCCAGGCACTGTGCTGGGCAACTTCACATACATTAATACCCTCAAAATCTCTGAAAATCAGGCACGTTGTCCAAACTGGGATCGTCATTTTCAGTCTCTGAAAATCAGGCAAAATCTCTGAAAATACGGAATGAGCATGCCCATTCCATAGATATGTCTCAGGTTATTAAGAAACATGTCTAAGGTGGCAGAGTATAATAGCAGAAAAATCCAAATCTTTCCACCTCCAGAGCTCATAGCTTTTTTTGATGCAGGAGCTCAAAATTGGCTTTCTGCTGTTTTCGTGCAAAAGGAAAACTGACCAGGGAGATAGCAGAGGTCACCTTTAAACTGTCCGTTGTGGAAACCTCTGGAAACAAATGCTTACACCTGTGAGGACAGCTTTCCACTGTGCCTCCCTGTGTCCCCCTCCCTTACTCAACTCATCTGACCCTCTTCCTCCCAGCTCAAGCCCCGCCTCCTCCTCCAAGAAGCCCACCCAGCCTGTGGGTTCCCTCTCAGCCCACAGTGCTTCCTCCCTCCTTGGAGTCCCCTGAACCCCCAAGCCAGAGCTGCCTGGCTTGTCTCAGCATGGTCCCCGTCTGCTGACCAGCCACAGGGCTTAGCCTCAGTCTTCTCACCAGACTACAGACCTGAAAAGAGAAGAAACCCCTCCACATAAAGCCAAGCAAAGACCAGAAAGCAGCAGGAAGGGAGACCAGATTTGCCTGGACGACCTCTCCAACAGACTTGCGCTCGGTTGAAACTTCCTCACTGGTCTGTGCACACCATGGAATGTTATTCTGCTTTAGGAAGGAAATCCGTCAAAAGCCCCGTGCTGATCAGTAGTGGGATTATGCCTGTGAACAGCCACTGTGCTCCAGCTGGGGCAACATAGCAAGACCCCATCTCATAAAAAAGGAAGGGAATCCTGTCACACATCTCAGCACGAGTGAACCTTGAGGATGTTATGCACAGATACAAGAAGACAGATACTATATCAGTCCACTCCAGGTTCCTGGAGTGGTCAAATCCACAGAAACAGAAAGTAGAATAGAGCTTGCCAGGGGCTGGAGAAGGGAAGATGGCGAGTTGGGGTTTAATGGGCAGAGTTTCTGTTTGGGACGAGGAGAAAGTCCTGATTCGGGTGGTGGTGATGGTTGCACAGCCATGTGAATGTACTTAATGCCAGTGCACTGCACACTTAAGAATGGTTAAAAGGGTGATGTTTATGGTATATATTTTACCATACAAATAATATACGCGCGTGTGTGTGTGTATATATATTTAAATGTCATGAGTGGAGTAGGGCTCAGCTGGCAGAGGTGCACCGCCTTGCTTGGTTTCCACTCCTCTTGAAGGAAGAGGTGCTGGCATCTGCACCATTCTTAGCGTCGGCACTGCTTTGCACCCCCCGGCTGGCCAGCGCGGGATGTGGGTGGGGAAATAGCCACTACAGTCCGGAGTCTCCCCACTCCCTCCCCAGGCCCACTTCCCCGACGAAGTTTCACTCCATTGTTCCTGGGCATCTCCAGGGGTGTCTAGTTTGAACAAGAAAAGGAATGTTCTGGATGGCTGGTCCTGGGCGCTCACCGGGAATGAACGTGAGCCACTCTTTCGCACACAGGCCACTCTGCGTCAGCCACTCTCGGGCTGCCCCGAAGTGATGTCCTGGTGGTCCGTGGAGCACACAGGAAAGTCCAGCAGACAAACATCATCAAGGTCGGGCATTCTGTCAGCTGCATAAACCCATTTTCTCTAAAATACTTAATGTTAACTTAGGAAAAAAGAAAAAAAAAAAAAACCAGAAAAGCTGCTTCAAGCCAGCCAACGTTCCAAGTCTCGCAGAAGCGTGTGAAAATCCCCACGCTCAGTCGCCCTCTCCCTGCACACGCCCCGAGTCCGCGTCTCCCTCCTGTGTGAATGCAGGGAAAGCGGGAGCGCGGCGAGGGGTCTGGTGCGGACCAGCCCCCGAGCCACAGAGTGCGGGGCCCGAGCTCCGGAAGCCCAGCCTGGGCCGCGACGGCCCCAATTCCAGCAACGCTAGAGGGCGCCCGTGCCAAGCGCCCGCTCCCGGCAAGCCGCGTGCTCCCGGGTGGCCGCAACCGCGGGCCGAGGGGGCGGAGTCATGGAAACACGTGCCACGGCCTGGATGAACCTGCAGGGCCGAACGCTCAGTGAAACCAGCCAATCACCAGAGCACAACTGCCGCGGCACTCCGCTGACCACCCACCTACCTGCCGTTCTGTTCCGCGTTGCCACAGAAAAATACCATAGACTGTAGCTTATAAATGACGGAAATTCAGTTCTCATTGTTCCGGATGCTGAGAAGTATGAGATCAAGGCACCGGCAGATGCGGTGCCTGGCGCAGGTCCTCTTCCTGGTTCTTGCCGTCTTTTCAGGGCACCCTCACATGGTGGGAGGGGCCGAGGATCCCTCCGGGTCTCTTTTATAAGTCCATCAATCCCATTCAGGAGGACTCTGCCCCACCACCTGTTTGTATTGTCTCCCAAAGGCCCCACCTCCTAAGACTATCACTTTGGGGGTCAGGATGTCAACATGTGACTTTGTGGAAAAGGGGGTGCGGCATGAACATTCAGTCCGTTGCACTGCAGTAGTCAGACTCGTGGAGACAGGAGGTAGAATGGTGGTGACGGGCTGCAGGAAGGGGGAATGGGGAGCTAGTGTTTCCTGGGGACAGAGTTTCAGTTTTGCAAGATGAAATGTTCTGAATATGGATGGTGGTGACGGCTGTGCACCATTGTGAGTATACTTAATGCCACACTGAACTGCACACTTAAAAATGTTTAAGGGCTGGGTGCGGTGGCTCACGCCTGTAATCCCAACACTCTGGGAGGCTGGGGCTGGGGGTGGATCACTTGAGGTCAGGAGTTTGGGACCAGCCTGGTCAACATGGTGAAACCCCGTCTCTACTAAAAATACAAAAATTAGCTGGGTGTGGTGGCACAAGCCTGTAATCCTGGCTACTGCGGAAGCTGAGGCACGAGAATCACTTGAACCCAAGAGGCGGAGGTTGCAATGAGGTGAGATTGCACCACAGCACTCCAGCCTGGGCAACATAATGAGACTCCATCTCAAAAAAAAAAAAAAAAAAGTTAAGATGGTAGATTTTATGTTATGTGTATTTTAACACAATAAAAAATCAAAGGTAGCTAATTCCCATTCTGCCCCAATTTCAGAGAAACACGTGGGCGAAGACAGGGAGGGGTGACTGTCGGTGCTGCCCGGGCCCTGCTGCCTTCCAGATCTCTGGCACCAGGGCTCTTTCTAGCTCCCTCCCCAGAAGAGGACATCAGCGACTTGCACAGGCCCCTTCCTGGGCCTGCCTGAACTGCTGGGGGCAATGGTTGTGGAGAGAACCCAGTGTGTGGGCAGAGAGCAGGCAGCGTGCCCCCTTCCCATTCTGCTCCAGCATATCACTCTTGTTGCAACACAGGATGAGTGTTCCCACATTTTGTTTAATATTCACACGCTATAGAGTGCTTCCTCCAGCTCCTCAGTCTTCAGGACAGCCTGGACTCCGGGACTGGTGGTGAGAAGCAGCAGAAATAACAAGCATCCCTGGCCCAGCTCGCTGGCCCCTGGTTGCTTTAGGGAGTCCTGTGCCTTCTCTGAGCAGGAAGTCCCTCATTGAAAATGAGAGGGTTGGACAAGACGATCCCTGAGAAGCCTTGGAGTGCCAGCTTTCTGAGAACTGGCCTGGCACAAATGCCCCATTTAGTACACACGAAGCCAAAACAGAGAGGAACAGGGCCCCAGCAGGAGGAGTCAGCGAGCCGGCCCAGAGCACGCTTCTTAGAAAAGGACACGCTCAGGGACAAGGGCACCATGACCTTCCCAAAGGCACAAAGGGCACAGGGCTCTGCATCTCCTGTTTGTTCCCGGTAGAACATCTCGCTGTCCCGGGAGAATATATGAGGAGTGCATAAATATACAGCCCCGCACTGCTTCCTGGGCTCTTGTGTGATTCCAGGGCCTGTTCTCCAGCAGCTGTGAGCACCCACCCAGACCCCACTGGCCTGGGGACGGCCATTGAGCCAGTCCCACCTGTGAGCCCTTCAGCGATTCTCTGGCCCCCAGCCCCACCTGTCTGTCCACTTTTCCTGGCAGGCTGGTTAGGGGATAAAGCAGATGCACGGGACACTTTACTTGCCCCTTTCCCGTCCACCCCAGTTCAACCCTCCAGGTTACCCTCCGGCAGCAGAGCCACCCCTGCCCAGGACGCGCACTGCCTTCCATTAGGCAACAGTTTCATGAGGCATTTGCCGTCCTCAAGAGGCTGACGTGACAGTGCCTGATTCACAGAGGCTTCCCTCTGACCCAGGTCTAGCTGGCTCCCCAGTGGGACACCCCAGGGCCTTTCCTGGCCCAGATCTGCCGCTCTGGGCTGTCCTGAGTGAGGAACACCTGAATAAGCCACAACATCAAGGAAAGGACCATGAGGATGGGAGCACCCGGGAGCAAGCCCCTCCCTGAGCCTTGGAAACCCCGTGACTCCTATTTTCCATGTCATTTTCTCCATCATGGAATGAACACTTAGAAACTGGAAGCTCGTGAGCAGAATGATTCTGTCCTAGAGCCTGAAGGCGTGCATCAGGGCTGGGTCCTTCCCTGCAGCATAGCTTCTAAACCAACGATTGATATCTTCATTTACCAGCACGATAAAAAAGGAATTCGTTTTCTTAGAAGCTGTGCCTGTCACTCTGCTCAGAAACAGTCCAAGCAGCCGTTCCAAGTGTGGCCTTCAGCCCATGCCAAACTTAGATCAACTGCAGGCTTGGAGCTTTCTGAGGCGAGAATGGAAGTATGTGTGCTGCAGTGGTGTGTGTGGGTGTGCACTCGTGTTTGTAGGTAGCATTTACACACACCCACCGTGGGCATGTACATGTGTCTCCCTGTGCCAGTATGCTGAGAGCTTCAGGACATGGCAGGCACTCCACATGCAGGGGATGGAAAAGCCATCACATTTATTGTCTGTCCTTGTGCGGTATTTAAAATACAACTGAGAATGTGTGCAGATTTTTAAATGTTACTGGACCACTTGGGTTTTTTTTGAGACCGGGCTGACTCTGAGCCAGACTGCATCTGTCTGCGTTGAAAGGGACCATTCTTTCCCTCCTGCTCCCGCCCTGCCCCCTCCACACACACCCTCCTTCATGTGAAACCCGAGCATTTCCTTTCCCGTAAGCCTTCTTCTAGAAGCCTGTGCTCAGCACAGGGGCCAAGCCCTGCGGCTCAGGCAGGCCCACGTGACTCTTGAACTGCAGACTCAAGTCCCAAGGTGGGAAACCGTTTGTCAACGGCCCCCAGATTTACAACCACGAGGCCAGGCTGGTCTTGGGGTGCAAAGCCATTGTTCAAACCATCAGTCATGCAAGGAGTTCCTAGGATTTTTTATTTTCCCCTCCAAAAAGCTCTCTTCAGCTTTGAAGAAATGCTGTTTCCTCCTCTGGTTACTTCTGCCTGATGAGAATGCTGATCTGGGGATCCAAGTAAAGGGTGGACCACAGAGCACCTTGTCTCTGTGTAAAAGGACACCCCTGTTACTCAGCGTGCCTGAAAGTGCCTGAGTGTTTCCCAGTCCTCATCAGTGTAATCTTAAGCTAGAAGTTCCCCTTGGGCAATGCATCAGGTCTTCCACTTTTTTTCCAATAGACACCATGGGCCATACTTCCTAAAATACATGTTTCTAAATCTTCTACTTTTTTTGAAAAACAATTTTGAATCATTAAAGAAATTTTTGAAAATAGCTTTCTATAACCCACAACACCTCTTTGTGAACCCCATGATTTTCATTTGTTGAAATTTTCCGATTCTGACCATGGGAATGTGTGTCTTACCAAATTTCAACCAGACATCCAGTGTTTCCACCTAACATGCCATTTAAAGCCACTTCCATATTCAATTCAGTCTGCGCAATTCTAGTTCCAAACGCTCGGTTTCTGTTCCATTCAGAGAATGTGCTGAGATTTCTTCTGTCATTCCCTTATTCCTGGACATTTAGGTGCAACAAGTGTAGACGGGTTGTTTTTTCCACTGAATCATTTCCTTCAGATGAATTTCCACCAGCGAGATGATTGGATCCACTGGTATAATCATTTTCAAGACTTGATGTATTTCAAATTACTTCCCAAAAAGCCTTTAACTACTTACAATGCCACCAAGAGCTAGCACAATTTTTTTTATTGTGAAATTGCCAGGAATTAAATTAGCTTTTCTTGACTTAGCAGATAAAAATTGACAATCTCAAAAGGTTCATTTTCATTTCTTTAATGACTGGTGAAGGTTTTATTGTTTTGCTTTTGTTCCCCCCCACCCCTCAAACTCTGTGCCTGTTTAAATGTATCCTGTGGCTACATCTTCATCCTTCCTCTCTCAAATCCTACTGCAAAGCAAAGGATGCAGACGGGGGTTGTAGTGAAAGGGAGCTGGGATCATCAGAATGGCCTATAGGTTAACCTCCCCATACAAATTACAATGGAGACCTCCCTAGCTATGAGAACATGGGAGACTGAGCCAGGAGATAGGGTGGAGGTGTGCAAAGAAGTCATTGGCAGAAAGAGTGATGGTGGTAGCGTATTTCTTCCCTTTTCTGGGTGATGGTGGGCTTTCTGAGCTGACACCTGCTTTATCCTGGGCCTACTGCCTTCCATGGGACTCTCACATCCCGGAGGCTTAGTGTCCCTTCCTAACCACAGGGATCCAGCACTTAAGCTCACTCTATACAGCTGTTTTGCCTTCAAAGACTAGTACTTCTAATACACATTCTCCACTTTCTCTCCAATAGTGGTGTTGGCTTTGCAAAGTCTTTCTTCCTTGTGAAAGGGAGCTTCAGGGCCATGGGCCAAAGCCTCCAGGGGCTCCGCTTTGGGAATCTGATGGAAAGCAGGCATACATCCCCTACCAGCCACTGCAGCCACCAGGAACTCTGCAGGGATGTTCTGTGTTGCCCTGGTGAAGACGCTGATGCCTAGTCAATACCTTGGGATGGCTCTTCTTGAGGCCCGCCAGCACTGATGTTGTCTTTCGAGGAAGTTAAGGCACAGCTTTGGAAGACGAGAAGGAGAAACCTGGTGAGAAATTAGGGGCAGGGCATCTGCCATGTTTCCCAGATGTTGAGGCGTCTAAGGAGTTTTCTACTGACGAGGATCTTAATTCCAACATTCAGGACTCTTTATTCGTATATTAAACAGCCCTTCCCAGAAAAGCTTCTCTACTGTCCTAGACAGATGATTTCCCTGTAAACCATCAAACGTGGTCCCTCGGACAGTCACACTCCTGAGCTTCTTGGGGTTCCTATGCTGTGCCGTGTTTTCCCCTCTAGCGTGGCAGGAATTGCCCACATGACACGTGTCTGCTTGTGTCTGTCTCTCCCATTAGACTGTCAAGTCCGGGAAACAAGAGCGTCTCCCACTTCTCCTGTTCCCAGCTCGTGGCAAGCCGTGGGGGTGTTGAGTGAAGGAATGGCTTTGGGCGTGAAACCAAGGGCTAATCTGATTAAGCCCATCAAATGTAACCTGCCTTGCATGCTTCTAATCACTTGCTTCTTGTCAGCTTTTTAACCTATGTAGCTAAAAGTCACAGAGCCAAAAGCACCTGCCTCAACTCCCTCTAGCTTCCTGATAGATAACATCTCTGACAGTGGGTCACTACAGTAACAGTCACTTAAAGTTGTTTTTTAGGAACTAGGGGGCAGGTCCTGTCCAGATTAAACCAGTTGAGACCACCAACCTTTCAACTAGGCCTGCATGAATGCCTGAGAGGTGACCTTTTGAGATCACCGGGCCAAAAACTGCCCCCTCAGGGGCACCATTTTCTGAACATGCAGCCTATGAAGAGCCAGGAAGAGCCATGAAGAGCCATGAAGCTTGACTATGCATGTACACATGGCCAATTACCTCGCTTTTCTTCACCCTCAGTCACCTTTCCCCACACCTCAGATCACCTTGCTTCCTTATGCCATATATATCTCTAACCTGACTTTTGGGGAGGCAGATTTGAGACCTGTTCTCCTGCCTCCTTGCTTCGTAGCCTCATGGATCAACCCTTTCTTCTTTGCAAAGCCCATTGTCACAGTGATTGGCTTACTGCATGCAGGCAGAATGAGCAGGGAGACAGACCTAATACTGACCCTCCTTGAGTAAGTGGATGACTGCAGAGCTGGGATGGAAATCGAGGCACAGAGAAGGTAACAGCACCAAGATCTGTTCTAACCATCCACCCCAAACAGCTCCCCTGCCCAGAATCCCATGTGACCAAGGGCCCATGTGAACCCACGCAGAGCCCATACGAATAAAACCCTTGACATCAGCTTCTTGGGAACCAACCCGCCACCTCCTGAACCAACCAGCTACCAATTAAGCATTAGTCCCCAGAGCAGGAAGCCTGGGCACCTGCTGCATTCTTGGTGGAACCTCATCAGCCCCTGCAGGGTAATCACGCCATCCCAGGTGGCCTCCTGGGATCAGCAATCAGCGACACTCTGATAATGAAATTACTGGGCCCTGATTGCAACAAACTTCCTTGAAGATCCTGGGCCAGTCTTTCTATCTGGGTATTATGAGAGATAATCAGTTTCATCTGGTTTCGGTTCTTTTAAAACTCCCCCTTTGAAATATTCAGATCATTATCTGTAACCAGCGCCTTGCTTCAGCTTTATACAATTTGTGTTAGAGACTGTTATGTGTTCACCAAACCCCAGACAGCTTTTTAAAGAAATTTTATGCATATATAGTATAGGCATGTACATCGCTTCTATTTTTTTGCATGTGATAGCACAATATTACTTTCTTTTCACTTATTACTATCACTTATTACTTATTATTCACTTTTCACTTATTACCAATATTATTACAATATTACTATCTTTTCACTTAGCACCATGTCTTGGAGTCCTGTCTATATCAGTACATTTAGAACAGTCTTGTTCTTTTTCATGGCTGTGTAGTATCCCCATGTGGATTTACCATAATCTGTTTAACCTGCCACCCACTGATGGGCATTTAAGTTGTTCTCAGACTTCTCCTATTATGAGCAATGTTGCACATTCTTGTGAAATTATATCTGCAAGATATAGTCCTAAAGTGGGATTGCTAGGTCAAAGGGCATGTGCATTTTTATTATGGGTAGGAATTGTCCAATTGTCCTGCACAGATATTGATGCCAGTTCTCACTTAAGTTGACCATGTGTGAATGTGACTGTCTCTCCTTATGCCTATGATATTTTATCACCTGTTTAATCTTTGTTAATCTGATAAATGAAAAAAATCTCATTGAAGTTTTGAGTTGTATTTCTTTTTTTTTTTTTTCTTTTTTTTGAGATGGAGTCTCACTCTGTCACCCAGGCTGGGGTGCAGTGGCACGATCTCCGCTCACTGCAACCTCTGCCTCCCTGGTGTTCAAGCGATTCTCCTGCCTCACCCTCCCGAGTAGCTGGGACTACGGGTGCATGCCACCACACCTGTCTAATTTTTTTGTGTTTTTAGTACAGACCGGGTTTCACTGTGTTAGCCAGGATGGTCTCGATCTCCTAACTTCATGATCCACCTGCGTGGGCCTCCCAAAGTGCTGGGATTACAGGTGTGAGCCACCGCGCCTGGCTGAGTTGTATTTCTTATATTATGAGGTTGAGCATCTTTTGCTAGGCTTTAGAGGCATTGATTCTGCTTGTCTTTCAACTCTCACTTCACCCTCTTTGCCCATGTTTCTACTGGGTTCTTTCCTTACTAATTTGTAAGAACTCTATACATCAAGAGCATTAGAACCCTGTGCAGTCCAAGTTGAAGCATTTCTTTCCCCTTTGACTCAGGTATTTGGGGTATTTTGCTGTTTTGTTTGTTTTCCGCCATGTGGAAGGTTTTTTCTTTTACATACAGTCATCCCACTATGGGTCCACATCTGCAGATTCAACCAACTACAGATGGAAAATATTTGGAAAAGAAACAATTAAAAATAACAACGCAGCAATAAAAAAAATACAAATAAAAAAACTATACAGTATAACCACTATTTACATAGCATTTACATTGTATTAGCTATCATAAGTAACCCAGAGATGATTTAAAGTATACAGTTATATGTACACACTATACCATTTTATATCAGGGACTTTAACATCTGAAGATTTTGGTATCTGTGGGGGTCCTGGACCCAATTCCCCAGATACCGAGGATGAACTGTATTTATTTTCTTTTAGTCTTTTTGCACTTTTGTCATACTTTTAGCACGTATACTAAATTCTAATATGTATTTGAATGTTCTTGAACTTTATAGACTGTTCCATTGAGCTTTCGCTCCACATCAGAAACTCATTGTTTATTATTATAGCTTAATATGTGACTAATATCTGGCACAGATAGTCCCCTTCCCCTATTATTCCTTTTTTCTAGAACTTTCCTGCCTCTGCTTGCTTATGTATCTTCCCATAAGAGCCTTGGCATTAACTCCCTACATCCAAAAATATTATATTGAAATATTTAACCTATAGAAAATCGACCTGTTAATGATATCAAGTGTTATACAATAACATGGTATGTGGGTTTCTTGTTGTTCTGGGGGGTTTTGGTTTATTTGTTTGGTTGGTTGGTTGGTTGGTTTTGGTTTTGGTTTATTATTGTTATTGTTTGTTCTTGGCTAAGTCCTAAGCTAATGACTACAGGGTACAAATTTTGATCCCAGCCAACTTGCTAAAATATGTTACTGTTTGTAATTCCCTGGAAAACCCAAGAAAACCTGCTAGAATAAAATAACTATCATAGAAGCTTCAAATGACAATAGTTTACCTTCTCCTTTTAAATTTTTATATATCTCATTTCTTCTAGTGTGTTATATTGACTGATCTCTAGAACAGTGTTACATGATATTTGTGAAAGTGTATCTACTTGTCTTACTCCTTTCCTTAATATCAATGATTCAAGTGTTTCTACATTTTTAAGTATGATACTGTCTTCGGGATTAAAATATGCTTTTATATCATGCTAAGGACGTATTTATTATTATTTTCAGATATTTTATGCAGAATAAATAACACTAATGGATTAATGAAGCTAAACATGAACCAAAAAATTGTTGCTAACATTGCAAACAAAGAGTCAACCAGCTGTTAGGTATCTCCTCATAGAAAAGCACACACAACCTAAAAAGTAATTTTTCATAAAAATATCAAAGTTGGATCTCACCAAGCCTCTAGATCGAACTACCAACTTACAGAAATGCAGAGGACAGAACAGTCTATTTAATACACTACACAGAGGGAGCATGCTGCAAAACACAGACTCTGGGAAACTCTACAGGACACAGGCCCAGGTCTTTCAACAAATGTATTCCAAGTGGGGAAAACCAAAAGATGGAGGGAGATCCCTTTAGGTTAAAGGAAACTTAAAACACATCAACCAACTGCAATGTATGGCCTTACTGGGATCCTGATTCAAATCAACATGATGTCAAAAAAGTATTCACAAGACAATTAGAACTTTGAACACTTACTGGATATTTGATGACATTAAGAAAGTACTGTTAATTTTTTTTGGTGTGATAATATCATTATGGTTGTTTCATAAAATCTTCTTCTTGAAGAGATATGTACTAAATAACTGATGGATGAAATGATACGCTGTCTAGGATTTGGTTCAGAAGAGTATACGGGGAAGCATGGGGAGGAGTATAGAGTAATGAGACTGGCCATAGTGTGAGCTGTGCGGTGGGTGTGGAGTATAGAGTAATGAGACTGGCCATAGTGTGAGCTGTGCGGTGGGTGTGGAGTATAGAGTAATGAGACTGGCCATAGTGTGAGCTGTGCGGTGGGTGTGGAGTATAGAGTAATGAGACTGGCCATAGTGTGAGCTGTGCAGTGGGTGTGGAGTATAGAGTAATGAGACTGGCCATAGTGTGAGCTGTGTGGTGGGTGTGGAGTATAGAGTAATGAGATTGGCCGTAGTGTGAGCTGTGTGGTGGGTGAGGAGTATAGAGTAATGAGATTGGCCATAGCGTGAGCTGTGCGGTGGGTGAGGAGTATAGAGTAATGAGATTCGCCATAGTGTGAGCTGTGCTGTGGGTGTGGAGTATAGAGTAATGAGACTGGCCATAGTGTGAGCTGTGTGGTGGGTGTGGAGTATAGAGTAATGAGACTGGCCATAGTGTGAGCTGTGCGGTGGGTGTGGAGTATAGAGTAATGAGACTGGCCATAGTGTGAGCTGTGCGGTGGGTGTGGAGTATAGAGTAATGAGACTGGCCATAGTGTGAGCTGTGTGGTGGGTGTGGAGTATAGAGTAATGAGATTGGCCGTAGTGTGAGCTGTGTGGTGGGTGAGGAGTATAGAGTAATGAGATTGGCCATAGCGTGAGCTGTGCGGTGGGTGAGGAGTATAGAGTAATGAGATTCGCCATAGTGTGAGCTGTGCTGTGGGTGAGGAGTATAGAGTAATGAGACTGGCCATAGTGTGAGCTGTGCAGCGGGTGTGGAGTATAGAGTAATGAGATTGGCCATAGTGTGAGCTGTGCGGTGGGTGAGGAGTATAGAGTAATGAGATTGGCCATAGTGTGAGCTGTGCGGTGGGTGAGGAGTATAGAGTAATGAGACTGGCCATAGTGTGAGCTGTGCGGCGGGTGAGGAGTATAGAGTAATGAGACTGGCCATAGTGTGAGCTGTGCGGCGGGTGAGGAGTATAGAGTAATGAGATTGGCCATAGTGTGAGCTGTGCGGTGGGTGTGGAGTATAGAGTAATGAGACTGGCCATAGTGTGAGCTGTGTGGTGGGTGTGGAGTATAGAGTAATGAGATTGGCCGTAGTGTGAGCTGTGCGGTGGGTGAGGAGTATAGAGTAATGAGATTGGCCATAGTGTGAGCTGTGCGGTGGGTGCGTGGCGGTTTATTTACTATTCTGTCTACTTTCATATTTGTTTGAAATTCTCCATTACACAAAGTTAAAAAAAAAAAAGAATAATGCATTTAGATAAATGTTTTTTTAGAATCTGTGGAATAACGGAATGTTTTTTCTCTTATATTCTATTAATATGTTGAATGTGATTAATATATTTCCTACTTTGAGCCAATCCTGACTTCCTGGAAAAAAAGCCACTGGGTCATGGTTCATTATTCTCCTAATGAGCTGCTAGGTTCTCTTTGCTGCTATTTTGATAAGGATTTTGAATTATTATTCTTAAATGAGATTAATGAAGACTTTCGTTTCAAAGTAGATCCAAGGATAGATGCCTGAGATCCTCAATAGTAATAATTACGGCAACAAATATTGATTACTGGCCCTTGTGCTGAACACTGTACATCTTAGCTCATCCTGCGCTGGGGCAGGAAGCGGAGGGTGGGGCAGGAAGCGGAGGGCAGAGCAGCACACATCAGTGGGACACACACCTCTGCATGTGTCATTCCTGAAGTCAGATGCACAAAAGCTGCCAAATACCATGCATGCTTTCCTAGTCTCAGTTGCACAGCCAAACACCCTCCAGTTCCAATGAGAGGTCATTGCCCAGAGAATGACCTAAATCAGGATAGAAGTTGTTCCTTGACAGTCTTTTCCTGGGCCAATAACCTGCTTCACTCACCAATGATGCCATCTTAGGAAAGTTGGAAATAGTCCATTCGAATATCTTGAGACTCCTTGAACAATGAAATATACTTGGAAATTAAAGTTTCATGTCCCAGCACAGCGGTTGTCTCTCATGAAAATGGTATCAGATGTTTTACAGGTTTAACTTACATTAATATAGTTGGCCTTTCTTATCTGCGGTTCTACAACCACAGATCCAACTGACCATGGATCAAATTATTTTTAAAAATAAAATAAAATAAAAACAATACAAGCCAGTCACGGTGACTCACCCCTGTAATCCCAGTACTTTGGGAGGCCAAAGCAGGGAGATGGCTTGAGCCTAGTTCAAGACTAGCCTGGGCAACATGATGAAACCTCATCTCTACCAAAAAAAAAAAAAAAAAAAAAAAATATATATATACACACACACACACACACACACACACACTAACATATATAAAATAATATATAAATATACTTATATATAAAAAATAATATATATACTTATATATAATAATATAGATAATAAAAAATAATATATATATATTATATATATATACACACACACAAAAATTAGCCAAGCATGGTGGTGCATGCCTGTAGTCCTAGCTACTCTATCCTTGAGGTGGAAGGATCGCTTGAGCCTGGGAGGCAGAGGTTGCAGTGAGCTGAGATCATGCCATTGCAGTCCAGCCTGGGTGACAGAGCGAGACCCCATCTCAAAAAAGAAATTTTAAAAATAACAATACAACAATAAAAAATACAAATAACAACAGTACAGTATAACAACTATTCACATGTTATTTTCACTGTATTTGGTCTTAAAAGTAGTCTAGAGATGATTTACAGTATGCAGGAGAATGTGATTAGGTTATATGCAAATCTTACATTTCAGGGCTTGGGCACCCTAGGATTTTGGTATCCTCTGGGATCTTGGAACCAGTTCCCCAGATACTAAGGGATGCCTGTAATGACCATGGCGGGGGCGGGATTCAAGAGCAGCCAGAGACTTCCCGTTAACTTCCCCCATCTCAGGTGCAGCTTTCACCTCACAGCAGCCGACAGCCGGGCTGTCTCTGTAGACCCGTCTGACATTCCTCTGCAGCCGCTGTGGGACTTGCCCTGAACACAGCGATCCTCCGGGCCCCCACTCCCAAATCACGGCCGGTGCTTCCAAAATGCGCCTCTGCTACCTGGATGTATCCCCATGTGCAGAAACGGCACACATACCCTAATGTTGTTTTGAAAACTGCACATTAGGTAGGCACGAGGACATGTGACATTCTCTGGCTGTGCTCGTAGACATAAACAGTTGGCTAAAGAGCACACCACGTTTTCAGAGACTCTGTTTTCAGAGAAACCTACTCCCTCTCCACCCTTAACAAACCCTCAAGTGCAAACCATAAGGAAGGGACCTGCAGGCTTATTTCCTCTGTCTGCTTTTATTGCCCAGCGTGGACTCTGCTCCCCAAAGACGCCTCAGATGGACTGTGGTGGCTACTGTTTCAGAAACAGTGACATGACGATCAAGGGCCCGAACCACTGTGATAACCACAAGAGTGCCCAAACTTTCAAGAACAGGGGAAACTGACCCATATAAAGCCACTTACACACCACGTAAAAATAGACACACCAAGGTATTACAGATACTGCCAAATAAATAACCCCTTTTTAAAGAACAGCTTTCAGTGGTCTGGAAGGAATGAATGTTTGCTTAAAAAGGGAAACAATTTGGCTCTCCTCTCAGTACCAACTGTGCCCTTTATAAAAATAAGAGACCTCAAAACTGTCCTAAGCCCATTCCTCAGGATTGCTGAGGCAGGAGTCCACGCACTTGGGTGGCCAGCATCACATAAAACTGAGGGAAGCAAACCAAGGAAACCAAGGGAAACTGTGGGAGGAAGTGCTTCGTACGGACCAGGGAGGATTATTTGGGAACGTTATTAGGAGTTACGTGGTGATAATGGGTTGCACTGACACCAGGCCACGGGAGCTCCCGTGTCCCTCTGAAGATGCTCATGAGCTTTCAGTATGGAGTGAGTAGTACTTTTAGGTCTCTTTTACAGTAGAAGTAATGGATTTTCCCATTGTCTGCAAGGTACAGAGTAGGTCTGGTAGCTCTCTGTTTTATTTGATCCGTCTGCAGGTAGCTGCTAGACGGTTCATTTGGACAAAACCTATTTTGAGGGCTTAATGGATCCAAATAGGCAGTGAATTAGGCTCAAAATAGCTGGTTGATCACTGCCATGCTTTGTTTTGTTTGTTCATGTATACGTTTGGTGGTCATGGCTTTGAGAAATTAACTCATTCATGTCTAGTTAATAATAGAGCAAGAATTTTTAAACCAAAAATAATAGACCTTAGTGATGGCAATTTACAAAATAAATGAACAGACGAAGACCAAAGAAAAGGAGGGAGGGCTGGGGATGCACCCTGGCTCCCCACCTCACTCCAGTCCCTGCCCCAGGCTGCTGTCTCCCTTGTGTGCAGACCTGACCTCATTACGCCCTCAGCCCCCGGAGGGCAGAAGGTGCTGTAGTATAGATGTTGGTGCCTCAGATGCCAGATGAAGCACACAGTAAGGCTTAGCAGATGTGAATCGTGGATTCATTTCCTAAGATGAGTTTCCCTTTGTTGGTCAAACAGTTGGTTGGGTTGGTCTTCTCAGAGCCTCCGTGGCCCACATCCATCCCATACTCATCAATAATCTGGCCTGAAAGAAGTATCTCCCCAAATAAGGTGGGCTTAAAAACATCCTTTCCCAAACCTACTGGATCAAGGGAATGTCTTCCTTTTTCTGACAGGAATGGCTAATTTCCCTGCAGCTGGTGTTGTGAGGAGCATGCCTTGGCAAGTGCTGTGCTCAGCTGTGTTCCAGCCTCAGATCACCCTGCAGGCACTGGTTCTGCTGGGCCCCTCTGCTGGCTCTCCAGGCCCCTCACCCACAGCCACCTGCTGAGCTTTGCTGGAATGCTTTCACGTGCGTGAACCAGATTCAGAGATGCTGAGGGGAAGAAAGATGGAGAAGGGACGCCTACATTACAACTATGACGACACGTGTTTGTAGGTATCAAGGCAGGTCTGGGGAAGTTCTGTGCAGATATATTTAACTTTGTCCTTGTAATTTCAGGGTCCCTAGATAAAATGCTTATAAGAGCCCAGGTCTCAGAGCCAGGGAGCTGGGAGGCCTGTGGTTCCTCTTCCAGAGCAGGCAGCTGGACTTGAACAAGGACAAGGAGCGCAGAATGTTTTTCCTTATGTGAGAACGAGAGAGTCCCTGGGAGCTCCCTGTGCCTCGGCTGGCTGGCTGACGTCCGACACACCAGAAAGATCGCCAGAAAAGCGATCTGATGGGCCAACAGAGAGAGCAGGCCCACTTTCAATGTTAGGGTTTCAATGTTGAAACCAGATGTCTCGAGGGCTCACACATCCACAGAGCATCCAGCGATGTGTGTACACACACGGGGTGATCTCCCAAGGCGCTTCCGTCCACTCACTCCGTGGCTGCCACAGAGGAAGAGGTAAGAGCACTTCCATGGCTGGCATATTGCAGTAGAAATCACGACTGGATGTCAAGGCCAGGGTCATTGCCAGCTCTCTTTACTACTCAGTGACCCAAAAGACTCCACTGAACTCAAGTTCGGCCTGCACAGTGCTAAACTCTCCAGATGTTCCCAAGTATGAAGATTTAAACCATGTTGACACAGTGTACTTTCAATATCCAGATGTTCTGCTGTATTGAAAAGATCCTGTCGAAAATATAACTTATAACTTGTTTTCATGGTTTCAGGCACTGCCTACTGAGGACCTACTAAGTTCTGCAAAGTGTGCTAGGTGCTTAAGCGTATTTCTAATCTTTACAACCACCTTTGTTTTTTTTTTTTTGTTTTTCTTTTTGAGACAGAGTGTCACTCTGTCATCCAGGCTGGAGTGCAGTGGCGCAATCTCGGCTCGCTGCAACCTCTGCCTCCGGGGTTCAAGTGATTCTCCTGCCTCAGCCTCCCGAGTAGCTGGGACTACAGGGGCGTACCACCACATCCAGCTAATTTTTGTATTTTTAGTAGAGACGGGGTTTCAGCCACCATGCCCGGCCACAATCACCTTTCAAGGCAAATATGATTACCCCCTGTTTGGCTGTCCTTTTCCTTACCTCAGTCTTGCTGACAAGGAGAGCACCCGCCATTTTATGGGGACAAACTGAAATCAGAAGGTCCCGTTGCCTCAGGTGGAGTCCCAGCACTGGCAAGAGCAGGAATGGGAACACAGGTCTGCCCAACTCCAACATCCACTCTGCCTTCCTCTCTCTGAACCTGTTTCTTCATCAAACCATGGCCATAATGCCATCTTTGTGAAGTTGCTAAGAAAATTAAATAATGTATGTATGCATGGACTAGGAGGCCACAAACTCAAGGCCTATTTACCCAATTTAGCAACACTGTGTATAACTTAGCCAGTGCAGTACTTTGGAAAATGTGTCCATCGAAATCAACAGGCAAGGCTGAGGTCACCCGTGAAACACAAGCACACTACTCTCCAATGTCCCACACTGCCAACTCACTAATTGACCTTACCTGATTGGTCGTTAAAATTACGTGCATTAGGCCGGGTGCAGTGGCTCACACCTGTAATCCCAGCACTTTGGAAGGCCAAGGCGGGCGGATCACCTGAGGTCAGGAGTTTGAGACCAGCCTGGCCAACATGGTGAAACCCTGTCTCTACTAAAAATACAAAAATTAGCTGGGTGTGGTGGTGGGTGCCTGTAATCCCAGCTACTTAGGAGGCTGAGGCAGGAGAATTGCTTGAACCCCGGAGGTGGAGGTTGCAGTGAGCCGAGGCCACACCACTACACTCCAGCCTGGGCAACAGAGCGAGATTCCATCTCAAAAACAAAAAACAAACAAACAAACAAACAAAAACGTGTATTGACAACCCTCCCCACCCTGCCCCTGGGTATGCAGAGCACAAGGACGAAGTCGACAGCAGGCGCTCTGTGCTCCCGGGATCCCCGGGATATAAGAAACACAGGCTGATAAAGATGGCAAGAAGAAAACCCTTCCCTGATCCTCCATCTCCACAGGTGCTCTTTTCCCACGAACAAGCCAGGAATCACAGCTGCTCTCCCACCCCACAGAAGAAAGCCATCTCTTTTTCTCTTTTTTCATTTGTATTTGTACTGTGGTAAAATACATATAACATCAAATGTGCCCACTTAGCCATTTTTAAGTGCACAGTTCAGTGGCATTACTGCACTCACATGTTGTGCAGCCACCACCACCATCTCCAGAACCTTCTTATCTTCCCAGACTGAAACTCTGCACCCACTAAACACTGACTCCCAACTGCCCTTGCCCCAGCCCCCGGAAAGCCCTATTGTACTTTTTGTCCAAAAGAGTGACATCTTCCCCAACTTTCTCAAACACGGAGAGCCTTGGTTAATGATTAAACAGGCGCCAGGACACTCTGTCTGCCCCTGTCTTATATCAATTCTATGAAGGCTGAGGGTGTTTTGAGAAGCTGAGCATTTCGGCCTGTGTTGGAATATTCTGTGTTCAGATAAATGATACGGTGGAGTGATACGTTTTTGAAATAACTTTACCTCGTACATTCTTCAACTACTGTCGGAGAATGCATCACCCTGGAGGAAGACTCATGGGAGCCCAACTCCCAGGATAGGGCAGGACTGTGAACAGAAAGCCTGAAGTGTGAGTGGAGGAGGGAGCTGGGGGCAGGAGCTGCTCCTCCATCCCGTGGGATCCGATCTGTCTTTCATCACAGGGTGAAAATTCAGTATTTCTGAATCCCTTGTGAAATGATCAGAATCACCCGACTACTTGAGTAGCAATTAGAAAACATATTGGGATTGCTTACAGCAGACTAGCAAGATTACAAAGAAACAGAGGACCTGGGTGGGCACAGTGGCTCATGCCTGGAATCCCAGCATTTTGGAAGGCCAAGGCCACCACATCCAGCTAATTTTTTTTTTTCCTGTAGAGATGGAGGTCTCACTATGTTGCCCAGGCTGGTCTTGAACTCCTGGTCTTAAGCAATCCTCCCACCTCAGCCTCCCAAAGTGCTGGGCTTGGCGGTACTCCTGTAGTTCCAGTTACTTGGGAGGCTAAAGTGGGAAGATCATTTGAGCCCAGGATGTCTAGGCTGCAGACAGCCTTGATCACACCACTACACTTCGGCCTAGGTGACAGAGCAAGGCCTTGATTTGAAAGAAAGAAAGAAAAAGAGAGAGAGGTGGGGGGAAGAGAAAGGAAGAAAGGAAGGAAGGAGGGAGAGAGGAAGGAGAGAGAGGGAGAGAGAGAGGGAAGGAGAGAAGGAGGGAGGGAGGGAAGGAGGGAGGGAAGGAGGGAGGGAGGGAAGGAGGGAGGGAGGGAAGGAGGGAGGAGGGGAGGGAAGGAGGGAGAGAGGGAGGGAGAGAAGGAGGGAGAGAGGGAGGGAGAGAAGGAGGGAGAGAGGGAGGGAGAGAAGGAGGGAGAGAGGGAGGGAGAGAAGGAGGGAGGGAAGGAGGGAGGGAGGGAAGGAGGGAGGAGGGGAGGGAAGGAGGGAGGCAGGGAAGGAGGGAGGAGGGGAGGGAAGGAAGGAAGGAAAGAAGGAAGGAAGGAAGGAAGGGAGGGAGGGAGGGAGGGAGGGAGGGAGGGAGGGAGGGAGGGAGGGAGCAAGGGAGACCTGGTCTTCCAAGTCCATGTGTTCTATGGAGCAGTAATTTCATGAAATGCTCAGGGAGAAAACACTCAGATGATTTGGGAAGACATTGTTTGTGGAGAATCACAAAACACATTAGCACATTAAAGGCTTGTGAAAATCACTTTAAGATTTGTCACTAGAATTGACTTTTCAAATTGCATCATTGACAGCTACTGACAGCCCATGAAACTAGGTATTGTCAGAACATACTCTGACAGCCTACTAAAATGACACATTTTAGAATTTAGAGCCAAGGTACTATTTTCTCTGCTGATAACTGAGTATGCTTTAAGATTTCTGAATATATAACTAAGTTCAATAGTCATCTCATAGATAATAGATGGAAAAAAATAACATAACAGAAGCTGTTAGTTGCCTCATAATATCCTTTCTTCTCTTCTTTGGTCACAGAACCCTGATTTTATTTGGGGGTGGCAACTTGGCCAACTAAAAACTACATCTCCCAATCGCCTTTATAGCTAAGTATTGCCAATAACTATATTCTGGCCAATGGGACAGTACTAGTGGGGCTTTGGGGAGGGTTTCTTAACAAGAGATAATTCAGTTGGGTAGTGAGCCCATTTTGCCATTTCATGGCTCCTTTTTTCTGCCGTCTGGAATGCAGATGTGATGGCAGGAGCTCCATCAACTATTTTGGACCATGAGGTTACCCTGACAATGGAAGCTATGCACTAAGGATGTGGGATCGGAAAGGCAGAAGGGGCCTGGGTCTCTGCTGACATTGTGAAGCTGCCATACTAGTTCAGGAATGCCTACATTTAGACCTGATAACAAAATGAACACTTGTATGCTTAAGTCACTATAACTGGGGGTTTTCTTTTATATGTAATGAAGCCAAATCTTAACCAAAGAAAAGACAGTCACTACTTGAGAGAGTTTATTGATACCCCTGGCTCAGGAGATCTGGCCAGCTTTCCAATAAACTTCCATCTTCCCAGCTGTTTTTCCAAGTGAAACATGATCTATTACCTGATAACAAATAGCAAAATTTCCTCTCTGTCTAGGGATTCCTCCTCACCCAGAATCTTAGCCTGTGGCCCTTTCTCCTTTCTACAGGAGAGGAATTATGTTTTCTTTGCCAGATTCCTTAAAGTGTTATACACGTGGGTTTGCACCAATCTTTGCTTTCATGATATAAATTTCTCCTGTAAATCTTATTCTCATTTTCTTGCCTGCTTGCCCTTTTGGATGGAGACTCTCACCACGAGGTTGCCAAGTCACTCAGTTGTGATCTTTTCTCCAGGTTCCTACCCCTTTTTCTCCATCTGTCAGGAATCAAGTTTCAATAAGAGGAAGTTTATTTTTGAGTCAGTAAATTGATGTAAGAAGGGAAGCAAAACTATTTTGATTAGAATATGTTTGATTAAATATCTTTTCCAGCTGTCTGACCCCAACTCAAGAGCTCCTTATTCTTTCTATGTGCAAACAAAATGAAGCAAGGCCCACCTTAGAAACAAAAGGTTTTCTCACAATGAAAATGTTGGATTCTTCTTCCTCTCAGAAATAATGTCATCTAAGGAAAAGTTCATGATAAGTTTGCTTTCTTCTTTTAAGGTAACTTTTGCATACGATGTTAATTAAGTAAAATATTAGTTGAATTTTGTGAAAATATCATGATTCAGTCACTTGCTTTGGTCTTTAGAATAAGGATGGATGAATAAATAAAGAGATAGAGGGATTGATGGGTGTGTGGATGGGTGAATGGAAGGATGGGTAAATAGAAGAATAAACTGATGGGTGGGTGGAAGAGTGGATGGATGAGTGGATAGGTAGATGGATGGGTGGGTCGGTGGATGGATGAGTGGACTGGTGGGTGGATGGATGGATGGATGAGTACATGGGTGAACGGATGGGTGGGTAGATGAATGGGTGGATGGATGGATGGGTGGGTGGGTGGATGGATGGGTGAGTGGATGGGTGGGTGGATGGATGGATGAGTGGATGGGTGTATGGATGAGTGGATGGGTGGATGGATGAGTGGATGGGTGGATGGATGGATGGACGGATGGATGGATAGGTGGAAGGGTGAGTGGATGGATGAGAGAAGGAGAGGAAAAGAGTAAGAGAGAGAGAGAGAGACAAATAGAGAAACTATTAGAATCATCAGATGATTGAGAGAAAATGTAGTTCATTTCCCTTTATGTACTGATGAGGAAGCTGAAGCCCAGGGAGACCAAGTCCATGGTTCCCCCAGTGAGACCTAAAATCCAAGACTGCTGCCTCCCAGTCCAGAGGTCTAATATTGCTATTTTGTCTCAGTCCTAATGGAATTAGCCAGTTCAAACTAATTTATTCTGCAATAGGAACCAATGGCCAAATCTCCATGGCTCAAAACAACAATGGTTGACTTCCTGCCTACACCACATGTCCACAGCTGTTCTGCAGAAGGGTGCTCTGCTCACCTCAGCCAGTCAGAGACTTCGGCTGACAGAGTTTCACCATCTGAGGTCATGGCCATCTCCCCAGACAGTCTTCAAGTTCACTGCTGTGGGTAGAGAGAACATAGAAGTCTCCCAGCAGCTCTTCCATGCCTCCACCCAAAAGTGACCTGTGTCCCTGCCACTCCCATCTCATTAGCCAAAGCAAGGCTCTGGGAAGTTGGAGAAATGTAATCCTCCGTTATGTCCAAGAAGGGGAGAATAAAAATATTAGGGAGCTTGCGAAATGTCTTCCACACCAGCCCTGACTGCAGTCACTATTTAATAACCCACAGGGCAGCTTTGGGAATGGTCTATACCTCCCATATTTTGCATTACAAGGGTAGGGAGAGACAAAAACAAGGCTCACTGCAACACCTTTCTCAAAATAACAGAATTGACCTCTGACAGAAGCTTGGAAAAATCCCAACCCAAAGCCACAGGAAGCCCTGGACATCTCTAGTTCCGGCTCTTTGTCATCAAATCTGCGAATACAGAGGGTCAGATCTTAAGACCTTAAGCACATAATACAATGGTCATGAAGAAAACTCTATTTTTAGAGCATGCCATTTCACTAAGCTAGATGGTTCTGGAGAATGTTAGACCTGGAGGGAACCATTTCCTCCCTTATCTCTTTTAACAGCCCCCAGATAGCTGGCTGATAGATATTATTATCATCAGTTACAGATGGCAAAACCGATACTTAGAGGATTAACAAGAGTGGATCAAATGCATTAGTCACAATAACCTGGGTTACCTATGTTGACAAACAATCCTAAAATCCCAGTGCCTCAACATACACGTGTGCTCTTGCTCACATGGTATCCAACATGAGTTGCACAAAATTCTGCTCTACAGCCCTGTTTGGGACCTAGGATGGAGGCTCTTTCATCTTACAGCCACAGCATCAAAGCACACGGCCTTCTCATCTGGGAGGCTGGCGAACACGTGTCTCCTCCGTCTCACGGTGAGAGAAAAGGAGGCGACCAGCGATCAAAGTGCTTCACCCACACAGAGCACAAGTCATCTCCACTCACTGCCTGTTGGGCAGAGTTGGCCGCGTGACTGTCCCCGAGCAGTGGCTGGGAAGTACACTTCTCTTTGTGGGCAGGGCAGGAGAGAGGCTGGCGACGTCCACCAAGCCAGGGCAGGCAGCAGCAGAGCTGGGTCCAGAGCCCAAGCATATTAGTCTGTTCTCACACTGTTATAAAGAAATACCTGAGACTAGGCAATTTATAAAGAAAAGGGATTTAATTGGCTCACAGTTCTGCAGACTGTACAGGAAGCATGGTGCCAGCATCTGCTTGGCTTCTGGAGAGTCCTCAGGAAGCCTACAGACATGGTGGAAGGCAAAGGGCAAGCAGACACCTCACATGGCCAGAGCAGGAGGAAGAAGGAGGGGGAAATGCCATACACTGTTAAACAACCAGACCTCATGAGAACTCACTCACTATACAGTACCAAATGCTAAACCATGAGAAACCAGCCCTGTGATCCAATCACCACCCACCAGGCCCCACCTCCAATATTGGGGATTACAATTGAGCATGAGATTTGGGTGGGGACATAGATCCAAACCATATCACCAAGTCCTCTGGATTTCCTTCCAATGTTCCTATTCTGTGGCCAGAGTAAATGGCTCAAGTGAAAATTCAACTAGGCTCTAATCCAAGGACCTTGGGTTGGTCACTTACCTACCTGAGACAACGTTTACTCACTTATAAATAGGAATAATAAAAGCTACCCCAAGGCCTATTGTAAGGATTACATGAGATAATGAATATTAAGCACTTACTATAGTATCTTGCACATAATCGGCCCTCATTAAATTCTTGTTGCTGTTGAGATTGTAGCTGTAAAGCCACCGTGGCCTTTGACGTCATGAACAGTGTCGGCTAGGTGATCGAAACATCTGCCTCTTCTCTGCAGATGTCAGACGTTGTCAAAGTCACCCTCCAATGACCCAACTTTACTTCTGGCACCATCCTGGGACTGACAATTTGTCACGCAGACACAAAGAAAAACCTTCTCATGGACCCTCCAAGGAGTCTAGGTTCTTATTATGAACCCTCGTTTTATCTGTTAATTCAGTACATATTTATGAAGCACCTCTTCTGCATTTATTCCCTATGCTGGGAATAAAATTTTAGAAAAAACAAACATAACTCATGGCATTTATGGTCTTTGTTTTTAATTTTTTATCTTATTTTATTTTTAATTAATTAATTTTTGTTTTTTTAGAGACCAAGTCTCACTCTGTGGCCCAGGCTAGAGTATAGTGGTGCAAGCATAGCTCAAGGTAGCCTCAACCTCCTGGACTGGGAGCGATCCTCCCGCATCAGCCTCCCAAGTAGCCAGGACTACAGGCGTGCACCACCAAGCCCGGCTCATTTTTTTTTTTTTTTTTTCGAGATGGAATTTCACTCTTGTTGCCCAGGCTGGAGTGCAATGGCGTGATCTCGGCTCACTGCAACCTCCACCTCCCAGGTTCAAGCAATTCTCCTGCCTCAGCTTCCCGAATAGCTGGGATTACAGGCGTGCACCACCACACCCAGCTAATTTTGTATTTTTAGCAGAGACGGGGTTTCACATGTTGGTCAGGTTGCTCTCGAACTCCTGATTTAAAAAATTAAAAAAAAAATTTTGGGTAGATGGGTCTTGCTTGTTGCCCAGGCTGGTCTCAAACTCCTGGGCTCAAGTAATCTGCCCACCTCAGCCTCCCAAAGTGTTGGGATTAGTGAGCCACTGTGCCTGGCCCACTTTAGAGTCTTTGAAGAAACACAAAGTTACCTTGCAGTGTCTTTGGAAATAAGTAGGCATAGAACTCACCCTTTGCCAGTGAAGTGGACTGGCAAACACTGCTGTCACATTTTGTACCCACGCAGAGCACCGCTTCAGGCACACTTGGTCCAGGCACACTTGGTCCACGTGATCTTTGTAGGTGAACCCTGCACGCTGAGTCCTGTGGTGGCCCCTGGCCCCTGCCACCCTCCCGGGATTGCACGCTTTCACAGCCACAGCAAGCTCAGCCAGCGTTCACTCTTCTTCTAGCCCATCCTACTTACCACAGTCACTTAACTCCGAAAAATCCTGGCACCTTCTCACTGCCTGCCAAGTTGTACTCCACTGGCACGTGGATGGTGTGACTGCCTTTACACGTGACTGGGAATCTAAACCCCACCCTGCTCAGCGCCATGGCGGGGTGTCTGATGCAGCAGCCGCAGCAACAGCTTCCCAAGTTGTCAGAGAAGAGCCTTAAGCTTCCTTGCTACATGGGACTCCAGGAGTCCCCTGGGAAGTTCAGGCTAGAGCCTGTTTGTTCACCTTCCCCATGATTCCATAAACCATTTAATATCCTGAAATAAATCCCTTTCTGCTCTGCTCTGTAACTGAACCCTGACCAACACCGAGACTGGAATCAGGAGAGGTCGTAGGACTGAGTCTTAGGAATCAAAGTCTCAGCTCCCTCGGCTGGGTGGTTTTCAAACTCCTGGGTCCAAATGTATACACATAATTTCAAAGAAATCAATTTCCAGATCCTTACCTCCTTTATACACTCTTGCCTCAAGGCAAGTGTTCAAAAGCACACTTTATAAAAGAAAGCACTAGCCCTCAGCCTTCCCAAACTTACTCCACGAGGGTTTCTAAACCCTCAAATGCCAAACACAGGGAAAGGCTGTCCTGATAACCAAGCAAGGCCCCACCACCCTCTGCCGTTCCAGCTTTCCCTGCCTCATGGTACTTTCTGCTAAGGAAGGGGCCTGGCTTTTGGCCCATGTTGGGATGTTCTGAATTCAGGTATATGATAGTGAGCTGGTGAGCAGTGACAAGCGCTGAGTAACGACCTCATCTCTGACGTATCTATCTACCGTCAAAGGAGGCATCGTTCTGCAGGAGGAGTCCTGTGGGGACCTGGGTAAGGAATGCTAGGTGATTTGGGGGAAGAGAAAGAGGAAAGAATTGGGAGAATTGACTGATATTTCTATAAGAAACCTTTTCCATTCCCATCAGCTTAATTTTGTGATCAGGCTTTCCAGCAATTATACCTACGAAGCACAAAAAGTAGGAAAAGAATCCAGGCAGAACCATCTGGCAGTGGTAGATTCTGGCGGTGGTAGATTCAGTCATACATTTTTAAAATAAGGAAATTCCAGCTGGGCGTAGTAGCTCATGCCTGTAATCCCAGCACTTTGGGAGCATCTCCTGACCCCAGGAGTTTGAGACCAGCCTGGGCAACATAGGGAGGCCTCATCTCTACAAAAAAACTTTAAAAATTACCTAGACATGGTGGCACGCACCTGTAGTCCCAGCTACTCAGGAGGCTGAGGTGAGAGGATCGCTCGAGCCCAGAAGTTTGAGGCTGCAGTGAGCCGAGATTACACTACTGCACTCCAGGCTGGGCAGCAAAGTGAGATCCCGAGAGAGAGAAAGACAGAGAAAATTTTAAAAACTCATCATGTAAGTGAGACATTTCCAATAAAATTTCACTCTTTGAATTAACACAATTTTTTTAGCAACGTTTATAACATTTATGTTGTTTTCATAAGTTGCATGATAACAACCATTGTAATCATGACCCAGAAAATACTTTAAATTCCTAAAGTCTTTTGGTGGCAGGAAATAAAGAACACTTTACAATTTCGATTCACATACATTTTTGGTTGCAGAAAAGGGTGATTAATAAATGTTTCAAGCGTAAGTATAGGATGAACCTTGTAACTGAAGGAAGCCAGTCTCAAAGGATAGCATACTGCATGATTCCATTTACATATAAATGCTTGGAGTGAGCAACTCCATAGAGACAGAAAGTGAATTAATGGTGACCTAGAACTGGGTGGGGTTGAGGGAGATGGAACAATTGCCGGGGTGATAGCTGAGGGGTGTAGGGCTTCTTTTGAAATAAAAATGTTCTAACATATATTGTGGTCACGATGTAAAAGTCTGTGAATATATTAAAAGCCATTCAATAGCACACTTTACTTATGTGAATTGTACAATAGATAAATTATATCTTAATAAAGCTGTTAAAAATATACATTAGGCTGGGCACAGTGGCTCACACCTATAATCACAGCACTTTGGGAGGCTGAGATGGGAGGACTGTTTGAGACCAGGAGTTCGAGACCAGCGTGGGAAACACAGTGAGACCCTCTATCTCTACAAAAGAAATGAAAAAGCAATTAGCTGGGTGTGGTGGCACATGTCTGTAACCCCAGCTGGTCAGGAGGCTGAGGTGGGAGGATGGCTTAAGCCCAGGAGTTCAAAGCTGCAGTGAGCTGTGATTGCACTACGTACTTCAGCTGGAGCAACAGAGTGAGACCCTGTCTAAAAATATATATATACATACACACACACACACACACACATTACATTATGAAGGAATCCTAAGAAGAAAGTGAAATGGAACTTTATATGTTCAAGAGTAAAAAGACAAATTTTCAAAATTTTGAAAAATTTTCGAAAATTAAAGAGATTGTTCAAATATTTCAAAGTAAATGATGATGGATAGCATGTCATTATAGTGTTTAGGCTCCATGGATACTTTTCACAAAGTTACATGACATTTTTATCATAATGTCCCTATTGACAGTGCAGCGGTAGATTCACCCCGTAGCTAACAAACCCCAATCTTCAGAGGCTTTCACTAGCACAGGCCACCCCCAAGGCCTAGAAATGGCTCTTCTGGGTCACATATTTTAGTAAAATTTACAAGAGTAAGACCTTTCAACCTTAAGGATTAATACCTCTTTTTACACTCCCCTTTGTCTTTCTTCTCCCCATGTGTGGTGGCATTGCAGTGGCCATGGGTGCTTTTGAAAGTCCACTAATTGAATTGGGATAAACAAGTTAGTTGGGGTTTCAGAGGATGTATTTACTGGTGCAGTAACTTCCACATATGATTATGTTATTGCTAGCCCCTCTAGTGTAAAAATGATTTCTAGAAATACTCCCTCTGCCCACGGTCCTGAGGACCAGAAGTCATGCTGTGATATTCATTTTCTGTGGTGACCAGCACCATGAATGTGTGGACAGTAGAGAAGAAATAAGGTTGGAAATGTACACAACCAGAAGCCAGTCTACGTAAAAACATAATAGAGATGAATCAGGCAGATCTTCAATAAAAAGATCTCTTTCTTAGGTTTTGTCATGTTAGCTTTTTTTAAACTTCTAATGTTCTGTGATCCATTTCAACTATTTACACTTATCAGGAAAAGGTGAGATGTCAAGTTAAAAAGTGGGTGAAGGTGAGGTCAGGAGATTGAGATCATCCTGGCCAACATGGTGAAACGCTGTCTCTACTAAAAATACAAAAATTAGCCAGGAGTGGTGGCGCATGCCTGTAGTCCCAGCTACTTGGGAGGCTGAGGCAGGGGAATTGCTCGAACCCAGGAGGCAGAGGTTGCAGTAAGCCAAGATCCTGCCACTGCACTCTATCCTGGCAACAAAGTGAGACTCCATCTCAGAAAAAAAAAAAGTGGGTGAAGGGTACATTATTTTTCTAAATTTTTTCTAAATTGTCTTCAGGAGTGTATGCAGAAAAAAATTTGAAGACCACTAAGTTATCTGACTTGGCTGGGCTTGAAGCACAGGAGGTCTCATTCACATCAGAAGGTGGGACCCTGGTGCTCTGTAGCAAGAGGTGACGCAACAGTTGCTTGAACTCTGCTTTCAGAGTTGGGGTTATAGGAGTCAAGTGATAAGTGGAGTTTTGGCTCACGTGCTTCTCATGATGTACCTTGTAGGTCTATAAACTTATCCTGTAGCATTTCCTGGGTTTCTGAATGCAGAGCACTCTCTATGCAGAAACTCTATGAATGTATGCAGAAACACCCAGCTACAGAATCCCCACACTCATCCCTGGCCCAGGAAGTGAGGACTATTTAGGTAAGAAGGAGCAAGTGGAAAACCCTGGAACCACTTCTTCCTATCAAGAGTTATCAAAAGCAACATCACATCCCTGAATGAACTGCCAAAGACTTGAAAGATGTAGAGATGGCCGGGCGTGGTGGCTCATGCCTGTAATCCCAGCACTTTGGGAGGCCGAGGCAGGTGGATCATGAGGTCAGGAGATCAAGACCATCCTGGCTAACACAGTGAAACCCTGTCTCTACTAAAAATACAAAAAATTAGCCGGGCTTGGTGGCGGGCACTTGTAGTTCCAGCTACTCGGGAGGCTGAGGAGGAGAATGGGATGAACCCAGGAGGCAGAGCTTGTAGTGAGCCAAGATCACGCCACTGCCCCCCAGCCTGGGCGACAGAGTAAGACTCTGTCTAAAAAAAAAAACAAAACAAACAAACAAAAAAGATGTAGAGATGACATTTCCTATTACGGCCACTTAACTCCCCTGCTTCACCTATGTAGAACACATATGGCTGTTGGAGGATAATAAGGGTTCACTGTTAATTTAGTCAATAGATGGCTTCCATTGCAGCTTTTGTTCTAGACATAGTTTTATGACTGTAGCAAATCAACACAGCCCCCAGCACCCAATATGCAGCTATCAGTTTGGTAAATGTGTTGTCTCTTTCCCAATAAAACCACCAGAAGCAATATTATTTTACCTGGTAGGGACAGCAATACACCTCCACAGTCTTACCCTGTGTCAGGACTGTGCCTTCTCTCCCAATTACATCTGCAGGGAACTGTGTTCATGTGACCATTCCAGAGGACACCACATTAGTAATACGATTCTTATTGCACCTAGTGAGCGGAAACAAGTACATTATGTGCCTACATGTGTGCCAAAGAGTGGAATGTTGTGTCACAAGAATTCAAGAACCTGCTCTCTCAGCAGAATTGCTGTGCCCAGTGATCTGGTGAGCGATGGGATATCTCTCTGAATCTTGCACCCCCTACTGCTAATAAAGAGCTATAGCACTTGATACGACTCTGGATTGGGGAACCAATATGTACTGTGTGTGTGTGTGTGTGTGTGTGTGTGTGTATGTGGGTGTGTGTGCAGCTCTGACCCATATTCTGAATAACCCATTAGTCTGCCAGCTTTGAGAAAATCCCAGGGCAGGCCAGGCATGGTAGCTCATGCCTATAATCCCAGCACTTTGTGAGGGCCAAGGCAGTAGGATCGCTTGAACCCAGAAGTTCAAGACAAGCCTGGGCAAAAAAAAACCATGACTCTGTCTCAAAAAAAATTTTTTTTAATTAGCTGGGTGCATGGTGGCATACACCTATAGTCCTAGCTTCTCAGGATGCTGAGGCAAGAGGATTTCTTGAGCCCCAGGAGTTGAAGGCTGCAGTGAGGTATGGTTGCACCACTGTGCCACTCCAGCCTGGGTGACAGAGAGAGACTGTCTTAAAAAACAAAAACAAAAATTTCAGGCCATGTGCAAGCAGCTTTACCACCACTTGGATCCGTAACAGATCTAATAGTGCTGGAAGCATCCATAGCCAATCAGGATACGATGGTGTCTTATTTTAAAATGTTAGGTCTTATTTTAAAAATGTAAGACTGAACATACCACTGCCAGAATATGCCACTGCAGAACCCCTCAAGGAAAATCATAGGCAAGGCTGTATGTCCAATCACAGAGTTGGTGGAAGACTACAGCATCTCAATACAAGAAAGACCACACAGAAATAGGACCTCTCAGGAAAAAAGACTTAGATTGCTCCACTAGATAAAGAGCACTAACCAGCAGAGGCGCCGGATATGGTGAAAGGAAATACATGCCAGGATAAAGCAAGGATGCTCAACAGTCCAACCTCAGACTCACAAGCCTTGGAAAAATGAGGACTGTAATAGCATTGTTTTCCTTCTTTTCTCTATCCTAGTCAATTTATATTTGTCCTCCCCGTTTCCCTTAACATTTTATATTGGATGTGTTTTATATAAGATGTGACTTTATAATTAGGTCTACGGGTTATAAGATATCAAGGGAGGATTATGACTGAACTCGAATGAACACCAGGACAGAATCTAGAACATAGAACCTCCGTGACAGCAGGATGCAGTGGCTCATGGCACTTCCCCATTTTGGGAAGAAAGTGAGTTCCATGTTTTACTGCAGGGGGAATCATTGCCATTTGGAAGTGTACGTATGAGAAGAGAGGAGTGCATGGGAGTTGAGTAACCAGGTGGAGGACTGTGATGGGAACTGCGGATTGAGTCACCAGCAACCATGCTGACATCATCCTAGCATGCCTTCATGTATTGTAGGAGCTGGGACGCTGGAGTTTTTACTATATTTCCCCAACTCCCTTGCATCTAGGGTTCTACGGTGATTTAGATTCCACTATTCAGGAGAATTAGTGCGAGATTAGGAAGGCATGTTTCTAATATTCTGCTGACAAGCACCATTGTGAAGGTACCTGGTTTCGCTCTGAAAGCGGGAGGAGAGGTCTCAGTGTCTACTTACTGGCTTTGTGGAGTATTAAAAAGCACTGCCCAGGGAACCTATTTGCTGGTGTGGGTTATGCCAGGGGTGTCACGGTTTTAGAGTTGGCAGCACTAGCAGTAGCTTTCGGCTTGGGGGAGTTTCTTGACTATATCAATTGCCTGTCATGGTGGTTTCCGACCCGGGCAGGTGGCATGGTTCTGGGGCTAGCAGCTGTGGCCACCGTTTCCCTACGCCACTGGTGTCTGCTGAATTCGAGGAGGGGCATTAGATTCTTTAGTTCTTCAGGGTGGCTTTGGGTCGTGTTCTTAAAAGATCAGTCTGGAATCTGATCCTTCAGTCTTCCCAAAGAGTCTGTAAACCACTTAATATCCTGCCGCAAATCCCTTTCTGCTTAAACTAACTAGATTGAATTCCGTTCTCTGCAAGCCAGCCTGGGCGATAGACCACAGAACCCTCTGCGCTGTTCCTCTCCCTGTGGATTCTTTTTTCCCAAACCAAGTCACTACACGTGGATCTAGAATATATTATTTATTCTTCTCGGCCAAACCACAGGCTTTCCTTTTTACAAAATCAACTTGAGGTTTACCCTCTGTGAAGCCGTTTCAAATGAGGTCGAACACGCTTCTCACTTCCTCTGCAACTGTGACCCGGACACTTTGGTAACGGCTTACTGGGGGCTCTAAGACCATTAATCGGTTTCAGAACCGGAGTCCCTGTGCCTCCCTTGGGAAGCACTTTTCACATAAAGTAAAAAGTTCGGTGACCTTAGCAGGGCAGACGAGGCCTTAAACACTGCAGTTTAAAGCTGGGATGGCAAAAGACGTGGCCACCTCTTCCTCTAGTCTTTCCAACTCTCTCTCTTCCGCTTCCTTCTCCCTCCCCTTCTCACGACGCCCGGCCATTGCCTCTGAAGCTGGATGGTGGCTGGGCACGCCCCGCCAGGACATTCGTTCAGGGGAGGACGCCCGAATCTGTCAGCAAAGCATCCCTACCTGCAGGAGGCCTGGAGCTCAGCGCAGCCCCCCACGCCTGCCCGGGTCCCCGAAACGCGGCTGCTCCAGCGCCGGGGGCGCACACCGCCCCCTGGAGGCGGGCCCTGGCCCTGAGCCCCGCGCTCCCGCCGGCGCCGACTCCACTTCGCGGCTGCGCACTTTGCACTTGGCGCCCAGCCCTGGCAGATCGGGACGCAAACACACACGCACCCACGGTTTACAAGAAAGACTCTTCAAAGGAAAACTAAATGGGGGGTGGTCGTTCTAATAAATATAACGTGCAAGGCTCAACTATGTGAGTAATCATTAGAAAATGCAGAAAATGTGTTTCTCTTTATCTGCCATTCCCATTCCAATTCACTGCTTTTTTAAAACCCATTTATGCCCTTCTCAGAAGCCTCCTCCGTGAGCAATATCATCCAACTTCGACAGCAGCGTCAACCACTTTAGAAAATGAAAAGAGATAATAATTGGCAATTAACATCATCTACGTTTTAATACATTTTACAAAATTAAAATAAAAATGCAAGGCAGCCGGGCGCGGTGGCTCATGCCTGTAGTCCCAGAACTTTGGGAGGCTGAGGCGGGCGGATCGCCTGGGGTCAGGAGTTCGAGACCAGCCTGACCAGCGTGGAGAAACCCCGTCTTTACTAAAAATACAAAATTGGCCGCGTGTGGTGGCGCATGCCTGTAATCCCAGCTACTCGGGAGGCTGAGGCAAGAGAATCGCTTGAACCAGGGAGGCGGAGGTTGCAGTGAGCTGAGATAGTGCCATTGCACTCCAGCCTGGGCAACAGGAGTGAAAAAGTCCGTCTCAAAAAAAAAAAAAAAAAAAATGCAAGGCAAACTAGTTGGTCAATTGTCATTTGTGTCATTTGTGTCTATGTGTCATTTCCAAAACTCAATATTCTTTGAATAATAAAACCAACGCTTTCTCTAACAACTTGTGTGACATGTCCCCGAATCAGCATTTAAGATTTCGAACTAAAACGTAATCCGAAGAGATTCCTTAATGGGAAGGTTGGCAAACTTGCCAAGGACATAGACCTGTTCCTGTTCTTACTTCAGCTGGGCTTTCTTTTAATGAGTGGATTGCATTATACACTTTTTTGTTATGTTTTGCATTCACATATGCATAAAATGCTTTTCACTAGGAATCAACCAGATATTAAAAGAACGTAAACATATTCTGGCCATAAATGATAAAAGCTGCATTTGTAGACATGCTCAGCATATCTATTATTGGCCACTGGGTCAATGTTGAGAATTCCCAAAAGAAGTCCCCACCTACATGGCAAAGCTGATGGAGCCTACAAACCGGGAACATCGTAAGTATTAACCATCCTGAAGTATATTCTCTCTTACAAGACGTTGGAAAAACAAACGATGGGCATCTAGAATGACAATAGCTTCCTACTCCTCCTGCAGTTAAGAAAGACAAACGCTGAGAACCGTTGGAAAGGCAAACAAAATTGTATGCGAAGGTCACATTCAGCCAGAAGAGGTGCTCCCAATTACGTTTACTTAAAGGGAGAGGTCCAGACACATTTTTGGTATCCTCCTTTAAAAAATGTTGCAGTCCTTAAAATTTGGTAAGCTTCTGTGACTAAAAGTATCTTTACTGCTACCTAAAGTATGTACATATGTGCATGTTTAAAATCCCTTCTTTTCATCATTTTCAGAGACACTATTTCAATTTCCTGCCCTGAAACATGTGGAATTTCATTTTAAACAAAAGTCTCCTTTCAGGGACTTGCAGGCTTGGTGTGGCTGATTGGTGCTGGAGGCCGCTCAGGACGCAGTTTCTCACCTCGTCACACATGACCTCAGACATAGCAAGTGCCGTGCAGAGTGAGCTCTTGCTCTTCAACTCAGATGATAACCAGAAGCCTGGGCCGTGTCTTCCACATTCTCTATAGCTGCTGCATGGTGCCTGTATTATCTTTTTTTTGTTTGATTGTTTGTTTGTTTGTTTGTTTGTTTGTTTGTGGCAGGGTCTCACTCTGTTGCCCAGGCCGGAGTGCAGTGGCATCAATCCTAGCTCACTGCAGCCTCAACCTCCTGATCTCAAGCTATCCTCTTGCCTTGGCCTCCCAAAGTCCTGGAATTACAGGCATGAGCCACCATACCCAGCCCATATTATCGTTATAATACACACAGGGATCCCAGGAATGAATAAGAGCTAGTACATGTAGAGCATATTCTATGTGCCAGGAATGTATTATTACATGGAATCTCTCACAGCTTTGTGGAAGGTAGGGACTGAAATTGCCTCCATTTTCCACCTGAGTACACTGAGGCTTATAGATGATAGTTACTGGGCCCGAGGTAAAGGAGCCCAGGGGTCCAACCCGGCACCATTATGCTTGGCATTATATTGTTTTCTTTTAATAACTGCCTTTAATTAATTAATCAGGCACATTATTCTTCCCTTAGACCTGTATGTAATCGACAGTCAGTAAATGAGAAATAAGAATGATGGTTGCAAAGCCAAATAACACCAATGTGCTCAGATAAAAGAGTTTTTAAAATTTAGTTCATACTGAAGACCTTTCTACAGTGAGTTATTCCCAGAGTTTTACAATTAACTTATCAATTGAGACTATAGGCCAGGTGCGGTGGCTCACCTGTAATCCCAGCACTTTGGGAGGCAGAGGTGGGCGGAGCACTTGAGGTCAGGAGTTCGAGACCAGCTTGGCCAACATGGGAAACCCTGTATCTACTAAAAATACAAAAATTAGCCAGGTGTGATGGTGCACGCCCGTAATCCCAACTACTCAGGAGGCTGAGGCAGGAGAATTGCTTGAACCCAGGAGGCAGAGGTTGCAATGAGCCAAGATCACACCACTGCACTCCAGCCTGGGCGACAGAGCAAGACTCTGTCTCAAAAACAACAACAAAAAAAATTAAAATTAAAATTAATGAATATAAAAAATAAATTTAGACTATATTTCAACTTAACTCATAATGAAACATTTCAGCATTTATTTATGTCAGGTTAAATTAAGTCTAAATGGATCATGAAGTCTTTATGCTTCCCCTGAAAATGAAAAACGAGGGCTACATAATTTTTACATGTGAAAGATTTAAGCTTTACAATGCCATATAACAAAAAGATTTCCCATTCCAAGACAGTGTTCCCAAGGAAATTAAGCTTTCTTTTCTCCACCATGATAGTTTACTCAAACAAACAAACAAACAAATAAACTAAACTTTGAAAGAATAATAAGTTTAAGAGAGTGGGAGAATGAATGAGTTCAGGCTTTTATGTAATTGTCATTCCACCAAGGGGGTTCAGGCAGCGTCAAGACAGTTAGACTAGGTAGTCTTTATTGCCTCTGTTTGGGTGGTTTGGATCTGTGTCCCCGCCCAAATCTCATGTTGAAATGTGATCCTCATTGTTGGAGGTGGGGCCTGAGTCACGGGAGAGGATATCTCATGCGTGGTTTAGCACCATTCCTTTGGTGCTATTCTCGTGACGGTGAGTGAGTTCTCTCAAGATCCGGTCGTTTAAAAGTGCGTGTGGCACCTCCCCGCCCCCTGCTCCTGCTCCCACCGTGTGAGACATCTGCTCCCTCTTTACCTTCTACCATGACTGGAAGCTTCCTGAGGCCTCCCCAGAAGCAGATACCTGTGTATCTTCCTCTGCAGCCTGCAGAACCATGAGCCAATTAAACATCTTTTCTTTATTCATAGCAATGCAAGAACAGCCTGATATACCTCTCCAATTTTTCTAGCTTTTTATTGAAAAAAAAATATATATATATTTGAGATAGAGTCTTGCTTTTTTGCCCAGGCTGAAGTGCAGTGATGTGATTTTGGCTCACCACAACCTCCACCTCCCAGGTTCAAGGAGTTCTTCTTCCTCTGCCTCCCTAGTAGCTGGAATTACAGATGCAAGCCACCACACCCAGCTAATTTTTGTATTTGTAGTAGAGATGGGGTTTCACCATGTTGCTCAGGCTGGTTTCAAACTCCTGACCTCAGGTGATCCGCCCACCTGGGCCTCCCGAAGTGCTGGGATTACAGGTGTGAGCCACCATGCCCAGCTGAAAAATATATAAAAAGTAGAGAGAATATTATAATAATTCCTCCCATAGCCTTCACATAATTCAACAGTTACCAATACATTGTCATGTATTATTTATATATACGTTTATCTAATTCCTCCCTCCCTCAGTTACCTTGAAGTAAAACAAGATATATCATTTCATGCAAAATATTTCAGTAGGTATTTCTAAAATATAATGACTCTTTAAAAAAAAGCACAACTATATTATAATTATCACACCTAAAACAAAGTAACAGCAATTTATTAACATCATCAAATTTCCTGTCAGTGTTTAAATCAATCATTTCATCATTTCTTTTTATGTTCTGTTCAAATCAGGCCAAAAGCCCATGCATAATAGTTGGCTTACATGTTTCTTAGCACATTTTAAATCTATAGTTTCTCTCTCTTTCTTTTTCCTTGTAATGCATTTGTTGAAGAAATCAGGTCATTTGTCCTACAGTGTTTTCTATGATCTGAATTTCCTGATTGCATGCTGGTGATTTCATTGAAAAGTCCCCTGTACTTTGTGTAAGCTGATAATTGTATCTAGGTCCTTCATAAGATTCACTGTAACCTCTTCTGAGGTTGTTCAGCTTTATGATTTGCTCTTCCCCTTGAAAAGGTGTCTCAGTTATGCCATTTCTAACTACTATGAATAAGGATGTCTTTTTTCTGTGCAATTTCTTAGTAGGGAGGATACACAAAGTCTTGCATGGTCTAACGGAAAGAGCACAAAATTTACAGCCTAACAGATTTCTGTGGAAGACCCACTGCCTGTGAACTATGTGATCTTGGGCAAGCTATTTATACCATAATTATATCATTTATTAAATAGGAACAATAATGACTGACTTATGAAGTTATTGTAAAGAGTGGCAAGAGAAGCACATATAAAGCATCAATCACATCATACTTTTTTATATGAAGTACAGAAATCTATTTCTTACAATTCTGGAGGCTGGAAAGTCCTAAGTCATGAGGCTTGCTTCTGGCAAGGGGCTTCTTGCTGTGTTGTCCCATGGTGTGAAAGATGGAAGGGAAAGAGAGTGCATGTGTGCATGAGAAAGATAGGGGAGAAAGAAATGAAAATATGAAACTTTTCATTCATTTAAGCATGAAATAGTGATGGGCATAGAACTAAAACATCACTAGGGCCCAATTATTAAACCTATTACTCACATGATGTTGACATTAATCCATTCACGAGTGCAGAACTCTCATGACCCAATCACCTCTTGAAGGTCCTGCTGTTGCATTGAAGATTTAGTTTCCAACACAGGAACTTTGGGGAACACATTCAAACCACAGTACCTGCCATATCTTGCTGTAACTTAACCTGAGTTCTCAGTTCTGCATGTTCATGTGCATACATCATCTTTTTATCCACACAGTCATGCTCTTCCTGCACCCATATTGCTACTTTCCTTTCCTACACACAATTTGAGAACTATATTTTTAAAATCACCACAGATAGGAAGATTGTTTCCTGAAAACAGTCTTTTTTCAAATGACATCCCCAGAATTTGGACCATTTTTGACCCTAACAAGCCTGCCCCTGATTTGAATGACATGGCTTCTGAGTGCAGTGCTTGTCCTGGAAGCTGGTCTTGTCCTGGGAATAGCATGTCAGTAGGCAGAGCCTCAGGTGGGCAGGATGGCAAGCTGTAAGACAGGAGGCAGGAGAGGGCGTGGGGCAGGCATGGGATGGGGTTCAGGCATGAGCAGCTCAAGAGCCGGGGCAGATGGAGTCAAGGCAGAAAGGGCTTGCTGGAAATTGGGAGCCAGGCATTGAATGAACAGTCAGGGCTGAGGGTTTTTGTAGCTGGGTTGAATCCAGAAGGCGAGGGCCTGGAACCAAGGCAGCTAAGCTCAATGCTGTATTGAGAGCCCAGGCAATGTAATATCTCAGGACCCAGGAGAGAGACCTTCTGGGGACCTTGCATGAGACTGTAAAGCCAGACTGTCTGGGTTTAAATCTTGGCTCTGCCCCTTATAGCTGAGTATCTGGGAGCAAATTATTTCACTTCTCTGTGCCTCAGTTTCCCCATCTGTAAATTGGATGACTATAATAGTACCTTCCTCAGGGGGCTGTTTAAGTGAGTCAAAACAGGTAAAGTTCTTAGAAGTGGTAGTTGGCCCATAGTGCCATCAGATTCAGCTATTTTCTTTTAGAAGTTAACCATTAGACCACTTTGCATATGGAGGATTCTTCTCCAAGGGTATGTCACAGGCCCTGAGCAGCCTCTGATGCTGCTGAAAGGGGAGCTTATCTTATCTCCAACCCAGGGGAGTCTTGGCCTTGGTTAGCAAGATAAATTTTTAGTAATGTGTGTTATTATTCTACCATTATGGAGATATCAACAATGGCTCTGTTCTCTTCCTGGGATGTTCCTCTCCAACCTGTCCTCCTAACTCCATGCGGCTTTTCAACATTTCAGTCAACCATTACCTCTTCCAACAGGTCCTCCCAAGCCCCCAGGCGGAGCTGCCAGCAGCTGCCCTGTCTTTTGTGTTATCAGCATTTATCAAACCACTCTTAGTTTGCTTGTTTCTCTTCCTCACTAAAATGTGAGCTATTATACTCACAGATAATGCCTCTGTGTTTTTTATTTAAATGTTGTTTTCATGTTAAAATATTTCATGCAGAAAAAAATATATAACTGACACTTAAGTACCCACCACCAAAATTAAGCAAAAATTGATAGTTTGTCTATTTGGCTTCATCTTTCTTCTTTAAAAAAAGTAATGTTACCGACCAGATAAAGCCTCACCCCCATACTTCCCTCATGCTTTCCTTTTCAGAGGAAATGCCCATCTTACAGCATGTTTTTGTAATTTTATTTCACACATACAAATTCCTGATCAAGATATACTATTGCATGTATTGGATCTTTAAGGTCTATGTAAATGGTATCAGGCTGGGTGGATACTTTAGCTACTTTCTTTTTTTTAGAACTGATGTTTTTGAGATTTATTCATGGTATAATATGTACCTTTTTTCATGATTTTAACAGCTGTATTATATTCCCTTCTGTGAATAAGTTACCATTTATTTAGCCATTTTCCTACTCAGGGAAAGTTGAATTGGTTCCTTTTGCTGCTTCAAACAGTGCTCCAACGGACAACTGTGAGCATCCATCTTTGTGCACACATGTCTGTGAGCTAATACTTGTCAGCGTTTCTCTGGGGGAAGAGATGACTCCACATTGCTTACTCCCAACACAGTGCCTGAAATAGCAAATGACCAGTCAATGTTTGTTGAAGGAAGAAATGAAAATATGAAACTTTTCATTCATTTAAGCATGAAATACTGATGGGCATAAAACTAAAACATTGCTAGGGCCCAATTATTAAAGATATAATTATAGCTATGCAGGAGCATTTACAAATGTGAATGGGCTGCTATTTCTTGGCTTAAGCCACAGAAATTCCTGTTCAAATGAATTATGGGGGAAATGAAGATATAATGCCAGAGAAAAGCAGTCACTCCCTGGGTTGACTTTAGCTATGTATCCAGTTCAGTTCTGAAGACAGAGCTTCAATTGTTATTGCAGATGAAACTGAAGGGCCAAGTCAACCACAGGGCTCTGATTTATGGCACTATGAGTTGCAAAGGGATCTAATACCTTGCATTACAATGAGGCCTTATTCGCTTTCATGCGAATGATCAGGGACTGGATCACACATAAACAGATACACTTTGCCTTAAGAGGCTACTTGGGGCATATGATGCCACATGTTGGAACAACATTGAGATCACTGAGCTGCTTAAGCTAAACATTATTCAGCTTCTGATGCTGCTTTAGAAACTAAATTATAAAACCTCATAACTTTGTTGTTTTCCACCTTTCCCAGGTGAGAATCTCCCACATGCAAAGGTAGTGTCAAAAATCCATCCATCCCAAACCATGGGAATACCTATGCTTTCCTTAACTAAATCATTAGCAATAGAGATGAGATTATACTTATACCAATTAGATCCACTCCATAAAGCTAAGTAGAGAATTAGCTTTCCCATAAGTCATATGAAAGCGAATACCACATGGGAAGGTAGATGCCTGAACTTTCCTCTTAAGAGGAAAGAAGCAAGGGATAAATCCTGAGAAGACAATCAACTGTGTCAACTATAGTCCACCCCTTTAGCTTCCTGATATCCGTACTCTTCTTGCTCATGCCTACATGAAATGTACTCAATGAAACTCCAGTTCTCTGTGTAATGTACAGTCATCTTCATCAAGTGGTTTCTCATGTTCAAACAACACACGAAACCCAAGAGAGTTGTAATTAAAAATCAAAAAATTTGAGTACAATATAGGAGATCAGGAAAGGCAGCATTTCTGCTGCAATTTGAAAAGCTAAATTGGAATGATCATGTTTCTAAAGGCACTGGAGAGACGCAAAAGCAACAATAATTAGATGAAATAAATTTCAAATAAGAAAGAAGTCCTTTCAAGGTAATCCAAGGGTCACTGGCCATTTTTTTTTTTCCTGGGAGCATTTGCCAACTCTGACCCCAAAAAGAGGTGCTAGGCTCAGGTAAGGAGATGCCATAAGAGCTTTTGGCAGTTGCATCAAACCAGCCCAAAGAATTGGAAGTGAGAGAGGGCCAAATGCAAAGCTGGCTTTCCTCATTAGTCATTGGCTGAATGCAGGGGTGGTGTAGAAGACTGCGGAGTCTGGCCAGAAAGACAGAGTAAAATCTTCCACAGTCTCAGAGTGCTGTGAAGATAATGTCCTGCTAGAGAGAAGGAGCCTAGAATAAGGAAACAACAGGTCTTCATTACAACATGTTTGTCAGATTTTGAAGCTACATCTAGCAGCAGAGGGTAAAAAACTAAGCTAAAACCTTGGAATGACAAAAAGTCTAAGGCTGAAGAGAGAAAGAATAGCTAGGCTCAATTCAAAGCCTAAAAGGACCACAGCCAAGGAATAGGGATTAACCAGAGCTGAACCAAGTTTTACTAAAACTGCAACCTAGTCCCAGCCCAGCTCAGATCCCCTTTTCATTTAGGTAATCATAGGATGCTACACAGAAGAAAATGAAGACTGGCCAGGTGCGGTGGCTCATGCCTGTAATCCCAGCACTTTGGGAGGCCGAGGCAGGCGGATCACGAAGTCAGGAGATCGAGACCATCCTGGCTAACACGGTGAAACCCTGTCTCTACTAAAAATACAAAAAAAAAAAAAAATTAGCCAGGCGTGGTGGCGGGCACCTATAGTCCCAGCTACTCAGAGGCTGAGGCAGGAGAATGGCATGAACCCGGGAGGTGGAGCTTGCAGTGAGCCAAGATCATGCCACTGCACTCCAGCCTGGGCGACAGAGTGAGACTCTATCTCAAAAGAAAAAAGAAAAAGAAAAAAAGAAAAGAAAAGAAAATGAAGACCATTCCTGATTTTAAAAAATCATATGGAGCTGGTGTAGTTATTTTGTGTGTAAGCACACAACAACAAAGAGACAGGAAGGTATGATCAAAAATCAAGACAAAAATGAACAATAGAGGCAAACTTACCAAAAATACAGGGTTTGGAATTAGAAGGGAAGGATATTCAAATACATAACATTATATTAAAGAAAGTAGAGGAAAAGATGAACAGAAATCAACAGAAAGTAGAGGAAAAGATGAATGGAAATCAACAGAGAATTGGAATCTATACAAAACAATCAAGTCAACATGATAAAACTGAAAAACTATCTTTAATTAAGAATCTTAATTTCTTAATTTCAGGTGGGTATCATAAAAGGCTGGAAACAAAAGAAGTCAAGTTAGAGACAAATAGAAAATATATACACTGAAGCACAGAGAAGAAAAAGAAGGCATGTTGAGGATATAATTTTAAAACACAATATATACGTAACCAAAGTCCTAGAAGAGGAAGAGCAAGAGACCAGAGAAGAAGCAATACATGGGGCAGAAGATATAATGGCCAAGAATATTCCAAAATTTATGAGAAGACATCAACGCACAGATTTTAAAATCTCAGAAACCCAAAGCAGGATAAATCAAAGGAAACACGCCTACCATCCTATAGTCAAACTACTGAAAAACCTGAGAAAAGTGACAATCACAGGAAGAGAAGACACATTACCTTCAAAGGAGCAGCAATAAAACTGATGGCTGACTTTTCAACAGAAACTGGAAACCAAAAGACAATAGAATGACATCTTTACAGTGCTGAAGGAAACGGCCAACCTTGAATTTTATACCCAGTAAAAATGTTATTTGCAAATTAAGGTGAAATATGGTTGGACATGATGGCTCATGCCTTGTAATCTGAGCACTTTGAGAGGCTGAGGCAGGAGGATTGCTTGAGGCTAGGAGTTTGAGACCAGCCTGGGCAATACTCCATCTCTCCAAAAATAGAACATAAACTTAGCAGGGCATGGTGGCATGTGCCTGTAGTCCCAACTACTCAAGAGGCTGAGGTGGAAGATCACTTGAGTCCTGGAGTTCAAGGTTACAGTGAGCTATGATCCCACCACTGCACTGCAGCCTGGGTGACATGAGCAAGACCCTGACTAAGGAAAAAAAAAAAAGAAAAGAAAAGAAAAGAAAGAAAATAAATTAAAAGTGAAATAAAGACACTTTACTGAAAAACAAAAGCTGAGAGAATTTATCATCAGCACACTGGCAGTATAAAAAATGCTAAAGGAAGTTCTTGGGTTGAAGAAAAATTGTCACAGACAGAAACATAAAACTGCAGCAGAGAATTGAAGAGCACTAGAAAGGAGAAGAACTATCTGCTCAAGGCCAGCTTTGAAGGAATGGATCCTGGTGCATAAGGCACAAGCTCTGTAATAAGTTTTGAATTCAGGAAGTGTGGGTCCTTCAATTTTGTTTTTCTTTTTCAAGAACGCTTTGGTTATCCTGGATCCTTTGAATTTCCATATGAATTTGAGAACCAGTTTGTCAATTTCTACAAACAAGTCAGCTGGGATTAGGATACAAATCACTTTGAGTTGGTAGGTCAGTTTGGGAGGAGGTATTAGCATTTTAAAATATTAAATCTTCTGATCCATAAACACAGGATGTCATTCCATTTATTCAGGTCTTTTTCAACAACATTTTGTAGTTTCAATATATGTATTTTATTTCTTTTGTAAGTTTATTCCTAAGCATTTCATTCTTTTGCAGCTATTTAGATTTCAGAAAGTGTGAGTCCTGGCCTGGCTCTGTGGCTCACACCTGTAATCCCAGCACTTTGGGAGGCCGAGACGAGTGCATCACCTGAGGTCAGGAGTTTGAGACCAGCCTGGCCAATATTTCTACTAAAAATACAAAAAATTTCTACTAAAAATATACAAAATTAGCCAGGCACAGTGGCTTACACCTGTAATCCCAGCACTTTGAGAAGCCAAGGCAGGCAGATCACCTGAGGTCAGGAGTTCGAGACCAGCCTGACCAACATGGAGAAACCTCATCTCTACTAAAAATACAAAATTAGCTGGGCATGGTGGCACAGGCCTGTAATCCCAGCTGCTCGGAAGGCTGAGGCAGGAGAATCACTTGAACCCGGGAGGCGGAGGTTGCGGTGAGTCAGGATCGTGCCATTACACTCCAACCTGGGCGACAAGAGCAAGACTCCATCTCAAAAGAAAAAAGAAAAGAAAGTGTGAATCCTTCTAGTTTGTTCTTCTTTGTAACTGGAATTGTTTCTTTTCTTGCTCCTTATTTTTATGTACCAGTTGTATGTTTTTAGATTTGAGATTACCATAGACTTGCAAATAATATCTTATAATCCATTATTTTAAACTGATGACAACACCGATTGCATAAACAAACAAGTAAAAAGAAAACTAATAAAAACTCTATACTTCAACTTTGTCTCCCTTCTTTTTACCTTTTTCTTTTTGTGAGACAGTATCTCACTCTGTTGCCCTGGCTGGAGTGCAGACAATCACAGCTCACTGCAGCTTTGACTTCCTGGGCTCAAGTGATTCTCGCACCTCAGCCTCCCGAGTAGCTGAGACTACAGGCACACATCACCACACCCAGCTAAATTTTTTTATAATTTTTTGTAGAAACAGAGTTTCACCATGTTGCCCAGGCTGGTCTTGAACTCCTGGGCTCAAGCGATTTGCCTGCTTTGGCCTCCCAAAGTGCTGTGATTATAGACGTAAGCCACTACACCCAGACTTTTTAACTTTTTGTTGTTTTTATTTATATCTTATTGCACTATGTCTTGAAAAGTTGATGTAGTTATTTTTTCTGATCAGTTTATCTTATCATCTTTCTACTTAAAATATGAGTAATTTACACACCACAATTACAGTTTTATAATATTCTGTGTTTTTCTGTGTGCTATTACTAGTGAGTTCTGTACCTTCAGATGACATCTTATTGCTCATTAATGTTATTTTCTTTCAGATTAAAGAACTCCCTTTGGCATTATTTGTAGGACAGATCTGGTATTGAGATCCCTCTGCTTTTGTTTGTCTGGGAAAGCCTTTACTTCTCCTTCGTGTCTGAAAGATATTTTCACTGGATATACTAATCTAGGGTAAAAGTTTTTTTCCTTAGGCACTTTCAATATGTTATGTCACTCTCTCCTGGCCTGTAAGGTTTTCAGTGAAAAGTCTGCTGCCAGATGTATTGGAGCTCCATTGTATGTTGTTTGTTTCTTATCCCTTGCTGCTTTTTGGAAACTTTCTTTATCCTTTACCTTCATGATTGAATTATTAGATGCCTTGAGGTCGTCTTCTTCGGGTTAAATCTGCTAGGTGGTCTAGAACCTTCTTTTACTTGGATATTAATATCTTTCTCTAGGTTTGGAAAGTCCTCCGTTATTATCACTTTGAATAAACGTTCTGCTCCTGTCTCTCTACCACCTCTTCAAGGCCAACAACACTTGGATTTGCCCTTTTAAGGCTATTTCCTATTTTTTTTTCCTTTCTTTTATGATGTCTTTGTTTGGTTTTGGTATCTGGGTAATACTGACCTCAAAGAATACCTTGGTAACTGTTCCCTCCTATTCTTTTTCTTTAAAAAAAAAAATAATTTGTATTAACTCTATTTTAAATGTTTGGAGAATTAAAAAGTGAAGGCTTTTGGGCCTAGGCCATTTTCGTGGGAAGTTTTCAAACTGCTAATTCAACCTCTTCATTTTCACGGGTCTATTTAGGTTATCTATTTCTTCTTGATTCAGTTTTAGTAGTTTGAGTTTCCTAGAAACATGTTCATTTCGTCTAAGTTTTTTGAATTTATTAGCATATAAATGTTTATAGTATTCCCTTATAATCCTTCTTATGTCTGTGAGGTCAATAGAATTGTCATCTTTTTTATTCCTGATGTTAGTAATTTGAGTCTTCTTTTTCTTGGTCAGTCTAGCTAATTGTCAATTTTGATGATCTTTTCACAGAAACAACTTTTGGTTTTGTTCACTTTCTCTGTTGTTTTTCTTCTGGTTCGTTAATAGCCGACCTAATCTCTATTACTTTCTTCCTTTTGCTTGTTTTAGATTGAATTTACTCTCCTTTTTTCAGTGTCTTAAGGTGGAAAACTAGGCTAGTGATTTAAAATCTTTCTTCTTTTTTAACAGAGGTATTAACAGCTATTGAATACCCTCTAGACACCGCGTTAGCTGCATCCCGTAAGTTTCAACATCTTATATCTTCATTTTCACTCGCCTCTAAGTGTTTTGTAATTTCCCCTGTGATTTCTTTATTGATGTATTGGTTACATAGGGATGTGTTTTTAATTTCCACATATTTGTAAATTTCCCAAACTTTCTGTTATTGAGTTCTAGTTTCATTCTATTGTAGTCAGAGAACATACTTTATAGGATTTTAGTTTTTTAAAAAAATTTCTTGAGGCTTGTTTTACTGCCTGGCATATGGTCTCTTATGGCAAATGTTCCATGTGCATTCGAGAAGAACGTGTATCTTGCTCTTGGGTGAAATGTGTATTTCAAAGACCTAGTTGATTTATGGTGTTGCTCAAGTCTTCTACTTCCTTGCTTCTTCTACTTCCTTCTGCTTTGTTGTTCTAGCCATTACTGAAAGTGGGATATTGAAGTCTCCAACTATTATTGTTGAATTGTCTATTTTTCCTTTCATTTCTGTTTTTGCTTCATGTTTTTAGGAGGCTCTATTATTAGGTACATATGTGTTTATAATTATTACATTTTTCTGATAAATTTGATCAATTTAAATGTTTGTATTTGCCTTTAGTAACATTTTTTGTTTTACAGTGTCTGATATCAGCAGAGCTGCCACTTCTTTCTTATGGTTACTGTTCGCATGATAAATGTTTTTTCATCTTTTTACTTTTTACTTATTTGTATTGTTAGTTCTAAAGTGTGTCTCCTACACACAGCTTATAGTTAGGTCTTATTTTTTTATTCAGTCTGAAAATATCAACCTTTTTGTTGGATTGTTTAATCCATTTACATTTAATGTTATTTTTTAAAGTTGGACAAATGGGTGCAGCACACCAACATGGCGCATGTATACATATGTAACAAACCTGCACGTGGTGCACATGTACCCTAGAACTTAAAGTATAATTAAAAAAACAAATAAATAAATAAAGTTGGACTTATGTCTGTCATTTTGCTCTTTGTTTTCTACATATCACATATCTCATGTCTTTTTTGTTCATCTATTTCTCCTTTACTGCTTCTTTTGCATTAAGTAAATATTTTCTTGTGTAATATTTTAATTGCTTTAATAATTTTTCACTGTATTTCTGAGTTATTTTCTTAGTGGCTTTTACATGGTTTATCATATACACCTTAACTTAGAATCAACTTCAGATTTATAGTAACTTAATTTCAATAAGATATAGAAGTGTTGCTTCTACATAGCTCTATACCTTTCCATCCTTTTTTATGCTATTATATATATATATATAACAATAATAGCACATATACATATATATATATAACAAACCCAATGGTACAGTTATACTTATTGCATTACATAATTTTATGTCTTTTAAAGAAGAGAAGAAAGGAGAACAAGTTTATAATTATGAAGTTTGTTACATTAACCTTATTATTTACCATTTATAGCCCTCTTCATTTGTTCCTGTACATTCCAGTTGCCATCTGGTGTTATTGTCTTACACAAATACAGCTTTGTTCACATTCACATCCTTGATACTGTTCTTGTCAAATATATTACATTTCTATATGTTTTGGCTCAACAATACAATTAAATACATATTGTTTTATACCACTGCTTTTCAAATAGGTTAAGAGAAGAAAGAATAAATATCCATTTATTTTATAATTACATCCACGTCTTTTATAATTACATGCTTACCTTTACTGATGCCCTTTGTTTTTTATGTAAACTCAAAATTCCATCTGGGGTCACTTGTCAACCTGAAAATTTTTCCCTTGAGTATTCTTGTGAGATAGGTCTTCCAGCAATAAAATCTCTTAGTTTTTGTTTATCTGGGAATATTTTTATTATACCCTCTTTTTTGAAGGATTGATTTTCTGGATATAAGATTCTTGGTTGGATTTTTTCTTTTAGCACTTTGAATATGGAATCCCATTGCCTTCTGGATGGCACTATTTCTGATGAGAAGTCAACTGTTAATGTTTTGGAGGGTTAACATTTTTAATATGATGTGTCTGGGCATGGATTTGTTTGCATTAATCCTACTTGGAGTTTGTTGGGGTTCTTGGATATGTATATTAATTTTTTATCAAATGTGATACATTTCAGCCATTACTTATTCAAATATTTTTTCTGCTCTTTCCTCTCCCTCTTCTTCTTATATAATCATCATGTATATCTGTACACTTTATGGTGTCCCACATTTCTTTGAGGTTTTGTTCATTTTTCTTCATTTTTTATCTCTCTGTTTTTTATTTCACAGTCTCTATTAATATATCTTCATGTTTGCTGATTCTTTTTTTCTGGCAGTTCAAACCTTCTGTTGAACTCCTCTAGTGAATTTTCTACTTTGGTTATTATACTTTTCAACTCCAGAATTTCCATTCGAATCTTTTTAATCATTTCTGTCTCTTTATTGATATTCTCTATTTAATGAGACAGCATCATCATCTCTTCTCTTACTTCCTTAAGCATGGTTGCCTTCAGTTTTTTGGATATATTTGTGATGATTATCTTTGTTAAGTCTTGTGTTTGGGCCCTCTGACAGTTTGTGTTATCTGCTTTTACCTCCCATGTATGAGTTTCCCTGTCATGTTTATTTGTGTGCCTCATGATTTTTTGTCGAAAATTTGACATTTTAGATAATATACTATAGCCACTCAGAATACTGATTTTCCCTGAAGCCCCTGTCTCTGGAGATTGTTGTTCTTTGTTGTTTATCTGTTTAGTAATTTGACTGGCCCATCTGGGTGAAGTCCACTTTTCCTGCAGTGTAAAGGCACTGATGTTGCTCCTTAGAAAGCACAGCCTTGAGCACGTACATAGTCATCATGGGATAACAGTGGTTTTAGCAGGATTCTCTTTCACTGTTTGTTTACCTGATCTGTCTGTAAGCTGTCTATCTCTATGTCTCTTGATATCTCATCCAGCTATTAGACTCTACTAATTGCCTGTTGGTTGCTCTATTGTTTGTGATAGTGTCCTGGTGCATACATTGCTCCACGGTCTCAGTCAATCAAGTTCAAGCCCCTTTGCAAGGATAGTTTTTGAGCTAGCTTTGAGATTTTTTGTTTTTGTTTTTGAGCCTCAAGAAGGCCCTTCTTAGATGTCTCTTTCCATGGTTATTTTTTTATAATCTAGCTGATCCACAGTTTCACTTGTTGCTCTCATGGAGCTTCCAGCCTCTTCTTCAGTGCTTACCACCAGAATGTCTATTGTTTTTGAGAGCTCCCTTAGGCGTGAACTTCCCCCACATTCTGTTCTAAATAAAGTCAGCTCATTTACGGAAAGCTTCAGAGGTCTCTGTTCTTAAGGCCCACTTTCTGCCAGGCAAAAATCTCTCCCCACTGCTGAGCAACACCCCATCTTTAAGAGCAGCATCCTGGGCAGGGAAAGTAGCCTCTCTGATCTTTTTGCCTTGCCCCTCCCAGCATGGAACTTCTACCCAATGAGTGAGCTGGGCAAAAGCAACTGGGGTCACAGTATTCCTAGCCTGCCACATCTGGGGTAGAGCTTCCACTCTATGAAAAAGAGCTGAATGGAGGAAGGGAGCCCCTGACCTCAGCCACACTCACATGGAATTTAACCTATTCAACACAGAACTTGGGAAGATGTGAAATGCTGGTGGCCTGCCCCTTCTGAATAGGTACAGTAGCCCCTGACTGAGAGCTGGTGGGAGAGGAAGCCCCATGTCTTGAGCACACACACCTGGAGTGTGACTGCCATCATGATGAGCTGGTGGGGAGAGCAGGTTGCGGCTTAAGTTCCACAGACCCTTGCTCTTCTTACAGAGATTTAATAGAGTTTCTTGAAAAAACTATTTGTTAATTCATTTAATGCTCTTAAGACAACATCCACAAGTTTTAAATGGTTGAGCTTTAACAAAATAATTCTAATTAGCTATGGTTGTTTGGCTAGGGAACATGTCCGTGGAACTCCTCACACCACCATTCCAGAAGTGAGTTCATCATATGTGCTTATTTACGCAAAATCATGCTTAGGGGAGAATATTTAAGAAATTGTTAATGGAAGGATGGAGGGGGAGATAAAATTACTTTCATTTAAAACCAATCTGTATTGGAATATGTTTTTCCTTTTAAAAATAAAAAAATAAGCAATTTCAAAGCTAGATCATAAAATATCATGCAGATTCTGCCCTGTCTGATGAAGACTTGCTGTAGGAATCCTCAGCTCTCTTGTGAGATGTCTGGCTATCCTGAGCCTGCCATACTATAAGGAAGCCTAAGCCACATGGAGAAACCCAGCTAAGCCAAGCCATCAAGTCATCTCAGCCCACATGCCAGCCCCAAACATTTAAATCGTCCCCAGCTGTTCAGCTAAGGACCAGACATTGTGCAACAGATACAAGCTGTCCTTGCCAAGTCCCAACCAAAATCTGACCCACAGAACCTGTCAGACAAAGAGAATGACTGTTTTAGGCCCTGCAGTTTGGGGTGGCTTATTACACAGCAAAAGATAACTGGAACTGGGGGTAACATTCAGAATGTGTTCCAGTGATAGTTCTGTTCTCAGATTTGCTTCCTTCTCTTATACCTCCTGATCAGCAGGTGGAAATTAAAAGAGCATTGTGAGATGCTGGAGAGATCCAGAACCACTTGCCATCAACGGCTGGGGAATCCTAGCCAGTGAGCTCGCAGGAGTTAGAGCAGCTTTTTCAGTTAGAGCAGTTAGAGCCTCTGGCCAGGCCCCTCGATTCCGTACAGATGCCAGTTCCTACAGTTGTCGATGCTAAAAAGGAAGGGATACAATGAGGTAGGGGGTTGAAGTGTTGCACAAGGTAGAGTTTACTTGGTTGCATTCACCACAGTCCAGAGATCTGGTGCCTTCTCTTATTCAGGGTGGTCAGTACTGAAGCCAAATTATAATAGGGAAGTTGTTTGGTGAGCAAAGAATCAAAGGGAGGGGTATTCACAAAAATGCAAATATTGAACGGGGATTAGATTCAAATAGGCTGGCAGATCCAGCTGCACAAAGAGGCACAGGTGAGCAGAGCAGGAGCAGGCATCCGTGTGCTGCCCTTTCTCATGGTCTGCTTTCTGATTGAGGATCATCCGCAGATGTGTTCATAGCCTCCCCAGGTTCACAGGGCTTCCCGTCACCAATTGTCATGTGGAATGCAGGTACAGTATTGCCAGATGGTCTGACTTTTGAAACAGAAGCTAGAGATCCAGACTTTAAATATTCCTGATTTTTAAAATAATGATTCAGAATGTTTGGAAACACTATGTGGATCCAACAAAACACATTTGCAGAATGAATCCAACCTGTGAGCTGCCAGGTTGCAACCTCTGGGTGAAAAGTCGGGTCTCCTCATCATGTGTGGGCATGGCCAGGCCTGCTCACGGAAAGCCCCTAGCAGGCATCAGAGGGAAACTCCTGGGCCCAGAGAAAGGGAGGCAGCCCAGCAATCACTCTGCATAAACCTCAGCGCCCCTCACGCCAGCCTTGGGGGACATGCCTCACCAAGGAGAAGCGTTGCCTTCTATGGTTGTCTCTGCTGTTTCTGGGGCTGATGTGGCTAGAAATATAAAAGGCAGTGAGCACACGGTTCAACATTCCCCCACACTGGCAGTCGACCCACGCCGTGCAGCCTGCCAAGAGCAGGGAGCTTGGGCACAGAGCTGAGAAACTCACAGGGACAAGGGGAGCCACAGCTGCCATCCACACCCCATCTCCTTTATATTCTTTGCACTGCTGTTTCCTACTTCAAGGGCAAACAACTTAAAGCAAGATTGCACCAACTAGGCCCAGTTCTTGCCCATCTGCAATCCTGGGCCAGACTTGACGGCCTGGAACAGGAACGGGCAACTTTGAATAATCCTCACTCAGCGATTTCTCTCCCACCCCAGGTTTCCCAGCTTGCACAATTGCCCCCAAGGCATCCACTCTCAGCTGAATGAGCTCCAGGCCTTGCACCCACAATGGGCCCCATCCGGACCAGCAGCCTTGGCAAATGACCCAGGCGGTATCCTTTCCCCATATAATGACCTGATGGCCACAGCTCTGATTTTCCAGAACAGTTTAAATTATGAATGATGAGTTCCTTTATCAGATCATGATCAGATTTTTTGGCTCTGAAAATTTCTTCGATGGCCCTAGAAAGGCAGTTCCCACAGGGGAAAGGCACGGTCCCTGACTCAACCTTTGTGAACCCTGTGTCCCTGAGCTCCACGCTCACCCTCCTGGAGTCTCAGCTTTCTCATCTGTGAAAAAAACAGCAGAGCCTTCTCAGCCTTGCATCTTCTAAGTGTCTGGAGAATGCAGGGAGGGCTGCCTTGGCGTTTGCTCACTAGGTCTCTCCTTCCCGCGCCTTGAAGTGTTAATCACTGTCCCAGCTAGCAACTCAATAAACCTGAGCTCCCTTCCTCCTAATCCCCCGC